>NC_000004.12:87709259-87860774 GCF_000001405.40 Homo sapiens
TACCGAGAGAGAGAGCACTCTGGCAGGCACTGCCTGACACAGGCGTGGAGTCTGGTGAGGGCACTATCAAGGACTAATGAGCCACTGTCGTCTAACTGTGCTTTAGAGTGTCTGGAGGAGAACTGTGGGATAGTGTACATGGAGGAAGTCCTTAAATACCATGTAATGGTATCACTGGTTAAAAGAGGGGGTCACTGGAAATTTTTGAAATGATATAGTCAGAACTGTTGTTTTTGCCGGGTGCAGTGGCTCACACCTGTAATCCCAACATTTTGGGAGGCTGAAGTAGGTGGTTTGCTTGAGCCGAGTAGTTCGATACCAGCCTGGGCAACACAGCAAAACCCTGTCTCTACAAAAGATACAAAAATGAGCTGAGCATGGTGTTCATGCCTGTGGTCCCAGCTACTCGAGAGGCTGAGGTGCGAGGATCACCCGACGAGGCTGCAGTGAGCCATCATGGCGCTGCTGCACTCCAGCCTGGGCAACAAGTGAGACTTTGTCTCAAAACAGAACAAAACAAAATTGTTGTTTTGCATCCCTCCCCCTAATTAACAGAAAGTCTATTAAAGTTTAAAATCATGTTTTCATATTTCATTCACATTTCCTTAGAACTTGGCACAACTGTGGACACAAATAAATATTTAATAAATAACCAGTGACTGATAAGAAGCAGTTACATATTATAGCTCTTTTATATATTTGCTTATCAATTTTCATGTTCATTTTAATTCTAACTAAAAAGAAACTAGAATTTTTTAAATTAAAAAGTGTAGAGTCTAATTAGGTGGCATGATATTTAAGCAAAACAGCCCTTTGCCTCTGAATCAGTCCACTGACCTACAGATACCATTACAGGTGTTAACTTCAGCTTCAAAAATATTTGTTATAAGATGGTAAACTCCAGATAAAACATTCCTTAAAACATGACTTTAGTATTCATTATATTACCTCATTTTTTCTCCAGTATGGATTTTTAAAATTTGTTTGCAGAAATTTTTTTCCCCAAATCTTACCAAGTATCTGGAAAATCTTGTCTTAGCCTTTATCTTTGGTTTTAAAAGTGTGATTCAAATCATTTTACATACTCACTTTTAACGTTATGAAAAAGCTATCAGGGACAGGAGCCAAGATGGCCGAATAGGAACAGCTCCGGTCTACAGCTCCCAGCGTGAGCGACGCAGAAGATGGTGATTTCTGCATTTCCATCTGAGGTACCGGGTTCATCTCACTAGGGAGTGCCAGATAGTGGGTGCAGGTCAGTGGGTGCGCGCACCGTGCGCGAGCCGAAGCAGGGCGAGGCATTGCCCCACTTGGGAAGCGCAAGGGGTCAGGGAGTTCCCTTTCCGAGTCAAAGAAAGGGGTGACGGACGCACCTGGAAAATCGGGTCACTCCCACCCGAATACTGCGCTTTTCCGACTGGCTTAAAAAATGGGGCACCACAAGATTATATCCCGCACCTGGCTCGGAGGGTCCTACGCCCACGGAGTCTCGCTGATTGCTAGCACAGCAGTTTGAGATCAAACTGCAAGGTGGCAGCGAGGCTGGGGGAGGGGCGCCCGCCATTGCCCAGGCTTGCTTAGGTAAACAAAGCAGCCAGGAAGCTCCAACTGGGTGGAGCCCACCACAGCTCAAGGAGGCCTGCCTGCCTCTGTAGGCTCCACCTCTGGGGGCAGGGCACACACAAACAAAAAGACAGCAGTAACCCCTGCAGACTTAAATGTCCCTGTCTGACAGCTTTGAAGAGAGCAGTGGTTCTCCCAGCACGCAGCTGGAGATCTGAGAATGGGCAGACTGCCTCCTCAAGTGGGTCCCTGACCCCTGACCCCCGAGCAGCCTAACTGGGAGGCACCCCCCAGCAGGGGCACACTGACACCTCACACAGCAGGGTATTCCAACAGACCTGCAGCTGAGGGTCCTGTCTGTTAGAAGGAAAACTAACAAACAGAAAGGACATCCACACCAAAAACCCATCTGTACATCACCATCATCAAAGACCAAAAGTAGATAAAACCACAAAGATGGGGAAAAAACAGAACAGAAAAACTGGAAACTCTAAAAAGCAGAGCACCTCTCCTCCTCCAAAGGAACGCAGTTCCTCAGCAGCAACGGAACAAAGCTGGATGGAGAATGACTTTGACGAGCTGAGAGAAGAAGGCTTCAGACGATCAAATTACTCTGTGCTACGGGAGGACATTCAAACCAAAGGCAAAGAAGTTGAAAACTTTGAAAAAAATTCAGAAGAATCTATAACTAGAATAACCAATACAGAGAAGTGCTTAAAGGAGCTGATGGAGCTGAAAACCAAGGCTCGAGAACTATGTGAAGAATGCAGAAGCCTCAGGAGCTGATGTGATCAACTGGAAGAAAGGGTATCAGTGATGGAAGATGAAATGAATGAAATGAAGTGAGAAGGGAAGTTTAGAGAAAAAAGAATAAAAAGAAATGAGCAAAGCCTCCAAGAAATATGGGACTATGTGAAAAGACCAAATCTACGTCTGATTGGTGTACCTGAAAGTGATGGGGAGAGTGGAACCAAGTTGGAAAACACTCTGCAGGATATTATCCAGGAGAACTTCCCCAATTTAGCAAGGCAGGCCAATGTTCAAATTCAGGAAATACAGAGAACGCCACAAAGATACTCCTCGAGAAGAGCAACTCCAAGACACATAATTGTCAGATTGACCAAAGTTGAAATGAAGGAAAAAATGTTAAGGGCAGCCAGAGAGAAAGGTCGGGTTATCCACAAAGGGAAGCCCATCAGACTAACAGCAGATCTCTTGACAGAAACACTATCAGCCAGAAGAGAGTGGGGACCAATAATCAACATTCTTAAAGAAAAGAATTTTCAACCCAGAATTTCATATCCAGCCAAACTAAGCTTCATAAGTGAAGGAGAAATAAAATCCTTTACAGACAAGCAAACGCTGAGAGATTTTTGTCACCACCAGGCCTGCCCTAAAAGAGCTCCTGAAGGAAGCGCTAAACATGGAAAGGAACAACAGGTACCAGCCGCTGCAAAATCATGCCAAAATGTGAAGACCATCAAGACTAGGAAGAAACTGCATCAACTAACAAGCAAAATAACCAGCTAACATCATAATGACAGGATCAAATTCACACATCACAATATTAACTTTAAATGTAAATGGACTAAATGCTCCAATTAAAAGACACAGACTGGCAAATTGGATAAAGAGTCAAGACCCATCAGTGTGCTGTATTCAGGAAACCCATCTCACATGCAGAGACACACACAGGCTCAAAATAAAAGGATGGAGGAAGATCTACCAGCAAATGAAAAACAAAAAAAGGCAGGGGTTGCAATCATAGTCTCTGATAAAACAGACTTTAAACCAACAAAGATCAAAAGAGACAAAGAAGGCCATTACATAATGGTAAAGGGATCAATTCAACAAGAAGAGTTAACTATCCTAAATATATATGCACCCAATACAGGAGCACCAAGATTCATAAAGCAAGTCCTGAGTGACCTACAAAGAGACTTAGACTCCCACACATTAATAATGGGAGACTTTAACACCCCAATGTCAACATTAGACAGATCAATGAGACAGAAAGTCAACAAGGATACCCAGGAATTGAACTCAGCTCTGCACCAAGTGGACCTAATAGACATCTACAGAACTCTCCACCCCAAATCAACAGAATATACATTTTTTTCAGCACCACACCACACCTATTCCAAAATTGACCACATACTTGGAAGTAAAGCTCTCCTCAACAAATGTAAAAGAACAGAAATTATAACAAACTATCTCTCAGACCACAGTGTAATCAAACTAGAACTCAGGATTAAGAATCTCACTCAAAACCGCTCAACTACATGGAAACTGAACAACCTGCTCCTGAATGACTACTGGGTACATAACGAAATGAAGGCAGAAATAAAGATGTTCTTTGAAACCAACGAGAACAAAGACACAACATACCAGAATCTCTGGGACACATTCAAAGCAGTGTGTAGAGGGAAATTTATAGCGCTAAATGCCCACAAGAGAAAGCAGGAAAGACCTGAAATTGACACCCTAACATCACAATTAAAAGAACTAGAAAAGCAAGAGCAAACACATTCAAAAGCTAGCAGAAGGCAAGAAATAACTAAAATCAGAGCAGAACTGAAGGAAATAGAGACACAAAAAACCCTTCAAAAAATTAATGAATCCAGGAGCTCGTTTTTTGAAAGGATCAACAAAATTGATAGACTGCTAGCAAGACTAACAAAGAAAAAAAGAGAGAAGAATCAAATAGACACAATAAAAAATGAGAAAGGGGATATCACCACCGATCCCACAGAAATACAAACTACCATCAGAGAATACTACAAACACCTCTATGCAAATAAACTAGAAAATCTAGAAGAAATGGATAAATTCCTTGACACATACACTCTCCCAAGACTAAACCAGGAAGAAGTTGAATCTCTGAATGGACCAATAACAGGATCTGAAATTGTAGCAATAATCAATAGCTTACCAACCAAAAAGAGTCCAGGACCAGATGGATTCACAGCCGAATTCTACCAGAGGTACAAGGAGGAACTGGTACCATTCCTTCTGAAACTATTCCAATCAATAGAAAAGAGGGAATCCTCCCTAACTCTTTTTATGAGGCCAGCATCATTCTGATACCAAAGCCTGGCAGAGACACAACCAAAAAAGAGAATTTTTGACCAATATCCTTGATGAACATTGATGCAAAAATCCTCAATAAAATACTGGCAAACCAAATCCAGCAGCACATCAAAAAGCTTATCCACCATGATCAAGTGGGCTTCATCCCTGGGATGCAAGGCTGGTTCAATATACGCAAATCAATAAATGTAATCCAGCATATAAACAGAGCCAAAGACAAAAACCACATGATTATCTCAATAGATGCAGAAAAGGCCTTTGACAAAATTCAACAACGCTTCATGCTAAAAACTCTCAATAAATTAGGTATTGATGGGACGTATTTCAAAATAATAAGAGCTATCTATGACAAACCCACAGCCAATATCATACTGAATGGGCAAAAACTGGAAGCATTCCCTTTGAAAACTGGCACAAGACAGGGATGCCCTCTCTCACCACTCCTATTCAACATGGTGTTGGAAGTTCTGGCCAGGACAATTAGGCAGGAGAAGGAAATAAAAGTTATTCAATTAGGAAAAGAGGAAGTCAAATTGTCCCTGTTTGCAGATGACATGATTGTATATCTAGAAAACCCCATCGTCTCAGTCCAAAATCTCCTTAAGCTGATAAGCAAATTCAGCAAAGTCTCAGGATACAAAATCAATGTACAAAAATCACAAGCATTCTCATACACCAACAACAGACAAACAGAGAGCCAAATCATGAGTGAACTCCCATTCACAATTGCTTCAAAGAGAATCAAATACCTAGGAATCCAACTTACAAGGGATGTGAAGGACCTCTTCAAAGAGAACTACAAACCACTGCTCAAGGAAATAAAAGAGGATACAAACAAATGGAAGAACATTCCATGCTCATGGGTAGGAAGAATCAATATCGTGAAAATGGCCATACTGCCCAAGGTAATTTACAGATTCAATGCCATCCCCATCAAGCTACCAATGCCTTTCTTCACAGAATTGGAAAAAACTACTTTAAAGTTCATATGGAACCAAAAAAGAGCCCACATCGCCAAGTCAATCCTAAGCCAAAAGAAAAAAGTTGGAGGCATCACACTACCTGACTTCAAACTATACTACAAGGCTACAGTAACCAAAACAGCATGGTACTGGTACCAAAACAGAGATATAGATCAATGGAACAGAACAGAGCCCTCAGAAATAAGGCAGCATATCTACAACTATCTGATCTTTGACAAACCTGAGAAAAACAAGCAATGGGGAAAGGATTCCCTATTTAATAAATGGTGCTGGGAAAACTGGCTAGCCATATGTAGAAAGCTGAAACTGGATCCCTTCCTTACACCTTATACAAAAATCAATTCAAGATGGATTAAAGACTTAAACGTTAGACCTAAAACCATAAAAACCCTAGAAGAAAACCTAGGCATTACCATTCAGGACATAGGCATGGGCAAGGACTTCATGTCTAAAACACCAAAAGCAATGGCAACAAAAGACAAAATTGACAAATGGGATCTAATTAAACTAAAGAGCTTCTGCACAGCAAAAGAAACTACCATCAGAGTGAACAGGCAACCTACAAAATGGGAGAAAATTTTCGCAACCTACTCATCTGACAAAGGGCTAATATCCAGAATCTACAATGAACTCACACAAATTTACAAGAAAAAAACAAACAACCCCATCAAAAAGTGGGTGAAGGACATGAACAGACATTTCTCAAAAGAAGACATTTATGCAGCCAAAAAACACATGAAAAAATGCTCATCATCACTGGCCATCAGAGAAATGCAAATCAAAACCACAATGAGATACCATCTCACACCAGTTAGAATGGCAATCATTAAAAAGTCAGGAAACAACAGGTGCTGGAGAGGATGTGGAGAAATAGGAACACTTTTACACTGTTGGTGGGACTGTAAACTAGTTCAACCCTTGTGGAAGTCAGTGTGGCAATTCCTCAGGGATCTAGAACTGGAAATGCCATTTGACCCACCATCCCATTACTGGGTATATACCCAAAGGACTATATATCATGCTGCTATAAAGACACATGCACACGTATGTTTATTGCGGCATTATTCACAATAGCAAAGACTTAGAACCAACCCAAATGTCCAATAATGATAGACTGGATTAAGAAAATGTGGCACATATACACCATGGAATACTATGCAGCCATAAAAAATGATGAGTTCATGTCCTTTGTAGGGACATGGATGAAATTGGAAATCATCATTCTCAGTAAACTATCGCAAGAACAAAAAACCAAACACCGCATATTCTCACTCATAGATGGGAATTGAACAATGAGATCACATGGACACAGGAAGGGGAATATCACACTCTGGGGACTGTTGTGGGGTGGGGGGAGGGGGGAGGGATAGCATTGGGAGATATACCTAATGCTAGATGACGAGTTAGTGGGTGCAGCGCACCAGCATGGCACATGTATACATATGTAACTAACCTGCACAATGTGCACATGTACCCTAAAACTTAAAGTATAATTAAAAAAAAATATATATATATATATATAAAAAGAAAAAGCTATCAGTTGGAGAGGATGTTTTCACCAAGGCAAATCAACAGAACTGGCGGTTTGGACAAGACCAGAAAGTCCAGGGAAACTAATGACGCACACTCTACTCCTGGCACACATGACTGTAGAAGCATCCAGGCTATTCAAAGGCCGTGAAAACAAACAAGTAAAACAGGCTTCCGTTTCCTCTGAGGATTCCCCCATTGGAACCAAACACATCTTCCCAAGGCCAAGAATAAGGAGCTGAAAGACTGAAAGGATTTGGTTATTAGTTTGTACAAACCAGTTTCTTTGTAGAAGGCACTTTTGTTTGAGTGGGAAAGATTTTTTTTCTTGCAGATTTTGCTGAGAAGTCATTGATTTGATCTGTGATCCTATGTGTACCTAGTCCAGAAGTCAGCCAAGAGGACTCTCATGTCTCTGATGAGAGGTAGAATTCTGGAGGAAATGCACACCATTGTAGGTAGAGGTGGCCTGTTTACAGTTTATCCTGCCCAGAGTAAAAATGTACCTTCCTGGACTAAATTCCTTATTACTGGTCAGTTATAAAATATGCGTAAGGTAAAATGAATTTCTGCCCAGATAATAGTTTAGGAGAAACAAGTAATTATAGGGATGTTTGGAACATTTATTTATAACTATGGAAACTTTCTTCATAAAAACTCAAAGTTCCCTCAGGAGAGGCTGCTGGAATGGTTGGATCTACTTTATTTGCCAGCAAGATTTAGCAGGTTGTGTTATTTGCAAATATATTCTTTATTAGGGTGAAACTATGTGTTTATTTTCAAATTTTCATCAATATTTCTTGCTTCTTTTCACTTGTCAAACTATCCTTGTTGCTTGTACAGGAGAGTACTGTGTGTACAGAGAGTTTTGTATACTTGAGAAATTGTTTGGTCTGCTCTTTTGGAAAAATAATTACACAGAGTGTCCAATACAGATATTAACAGTGGCGACATCTAGTCCTGCAGGAATGCAGGGTCAGGAGAGATTTGTTTGAGCTGTTCTTAGTGCATAAAAGACTATGTAGTTTTTTTTCTAAGCTCAGGAAGGACTATAGTTGCAAAGTGAGTCAACATCCTGCAGCATCCCACAGTGTATCAGGCTGAGACGTTATATTTTCTTTCTTGTATGTGGTACTGTCTATAGTGTCTTCCTTCTTTCTAAATATGCTCTTCCCAGACAGAGTTGGTCTAGTGGTTGTTTGTACTGCGTGGTTTTGAGGGGGGTTAAGAATAGCAAGTCCAAGTACATTATTATTATTTCAACCTTCTCTTGAAAAGAAAATGCCATGCAGTGTATGCATTTGCTTTTATGAAGTAAAAATGGTAATTCCCAGTAGAACTACACTGTGGAGGATGGGAAACAGATGCTTTGGTCAGCCTCAGGGACTGACCGTAACATACTGTGGAAATACGAAAGAGTAAGAAACGAATTGCATAATCTTCTGACTTTAATGAGCTGATTGACCCAGATGGCATGCGTGCACCTTGTTTCAACAATATTTTGCTAACACAATTTTGGGCTGGTTTCCCACTGCTATAAGGAGTTGGGGGACATTCTGAAATAATTGATTCTGTCCACCTGTTTTGGCTTAACACTTTGGTGGGAAATTGGTGTCATGGAGAGGAACCCTTCATTTAGATAAAGAAAAGCAAAGACTTGAAGGAATGACCAAATAATACCCAAATAGTCAGATGATGAGTTTGTTGCAAACACCGAGAAATCTTTAATGTTTCCATGGTGTGGGCTGGCATGTGTCTTAGGCTGAACTCCCCAGAAACAGAGCTTGAGAAAAGGATTTGAGTAAAAATACCTTATTCATAAGACATCCCAGGAAGCAGAGGTAGGAGTGTGGGAAATTTCGATGGAAAGCGGAAGGGAGCCAATAATAAAGATTATGTCATCCAGCAGATACTGAAGCAGGTCACTGGGGCTCAGTCCTTCTGAGGAATTCCGGGAAGCAGTGAGGAACAGGCTCAGAGTTGTCCAACTCAAGGAGCCAAGGAAGCTGGGTCAGGGGTGGGCGGTGGTATCTATGAGCTTTCAACCTTCATTGGTTGAGAACTGCCCTTGGGGACATTAACTCCTCAGGACTTCCTGCTTGCCCTGAGCAAGGCTAGAGCATTCTCCTACAACCTGAAAGAACCCCCAGGGAGAGAGCTGCATTGTCTTTGGCTAGTACAGAAATCAGAGTTATTGGTTAGATGCAGACAGTATCTGTTGCAGAATGCTAATGACTTATTTACCCAAGGAAGATAAAAAAGCAAATGGATATGCTGATATAAATGAATAAATGAATATATTGAAATTTTGTTGAGGGATGTTATATTCACATGGTTTCAACTTACTTTATTACGAAATACTTATTAGTTAAAAAGAAAAAAACAGTATAGTACAGAAGCCTTGCAAACCACCTTAATCAAGTAATCAAAGCTAACATAACCAATCATGAGACACATCAAAACCATGTGCCACCTGACAGACACAACGAGAACACAGAATTGCTTTTATGATGTTGCTGCCAAAGAAGCATGATCTGACTCTGCTTCTGAAGGAATATCAGATGAACTGAACTGCAGGGATATTCCACCATATGGAACCGGATCTGTCACCTTTAAAAATGTCAAAGTCAATAAAAAAGAAAACAAGTTTTTCTTATCCTCACAACATTTCTGACGCCAAAAGTATGATTTTCCCCCCACATCAACTAATTCTCTAATTTTCACCACACACCGAGTGTCCTACAATTTAACTCAATTCTGACCCTACCCAGAGTTAGCACAGACCCCAGAGACTAAAGGCTCAGTCCCACAGAATTGTCCTCCTACCTCAGATGCCAGTAGAAAGCAGTGGCTTCCTAGGTTACCCACTAATTCTGTCTGACTTGGCTACAAATTGGAGGTTGCCACAACTCCATCCTTAGGTTCATAATTTGCTAGAACATCTCGCAGAACCTAGGTAACTGTTTACTAACAATTACTGATTTACTACAAAAGACATTTTAAAGGATACAAATGAGCAGCCAGATAACAGATGCATAGGACAAGGTCTAGGAAAGTCCCAAGCACAGGAGCTTCTGTCCCCATGGAGTTTGAGGTCTGCTGCTCTCCTGGCACATACATGTGTTCCTGCTCAACCTGGAAGCTCTCTTAATCCCATTGTTTAGGATTTTTCTTTTAAAGAGGTTCCATTAGGTTGGCATGATTGATTAAATCATTGACCATTGGTCATTGAACTCAATCTCCAGCCCTTCTCCCCTCACAGGAGACTGGAGGATGAGGCTGAAATTTTCAACCCTCTAATCACAAGGTTGGTTCCTCTGGCAACCAGCCCTGATCCTCCAAGAATTGCCTCATTAGCATAAACTCAGGTATGGTTGAAAGAGGCTTTTATGAACAACAAAAAAGATTCCTCTCACCGCTATATAACCCAAGAAATTCTAAGGGTTTTAGAAGCTCTGTGCCAGGAACCTGAAGTAAGGACCAAATATATAGAGAGAGACTATATATATATATATATATATAGAGAGAGAGAGAGAGAGAGACTATATATCTATATCTATATCTATATCTATATCTATATAGTCAGAGTCATGAAAGTCAAGGAAAGACTGAGGAACTGTATCAGATTGAAGGTGCCTATGGAGAAATGACAACTCAGTGTAGCATGTGATCTGGACTAGATACTTTTTCTATACAGGATATTATTGGAGCAACTGGAAAAGTTGAATGGAGTCTTGAGGTTAGTTGTAGTGACATATCAATGTTAATTTCCTATATAATATTGATGCTGTATGTGGGTATATAGGACAGTGTTCTTGTTAGTAGGAATTACACACTAAAGGATTCAGAGGTCATGGGGCATACTGGCAACTTATTCTCGAATGGTTCAGGGTAAAACAGTCTTTCTTGCACCATTTGTGTAACTTTTCTGCAAGCTTGAAATTGTTTCAAATTAAACAGTTTTTAAGAGTAAATGATTAAAGAATCAAGGCACAATTATGTAAACTTTATCCACCCCTTTTTCCTTTTAAAGAGTCTCTCCTTGATGGTGGGTAGTCCCATGGACAGCAGCATTGCACTACTACTAAGGACCATAGAGCCAAATTGAACAATAGGTACCAGAGCTCCAGCTAAACTCTAGCCTGGTTGAGTAGTATTTTCATTTTGAATAGCTACAAGAGAACTACCTGATGTCACTATTGATACTGAGGATGAATCTCCTTCCCAAATGTTTTTCTAAAACAAGTGAGAAATTTCATGGCTATTTTTAAACTAAGTTGAAAGAAGGAAAGGTAGGGATCGTGAGGGACACCATGGTACATGCTTGAATTTATAGGTGTGAGAATTTTTGTCAACATCTTTTGATAATAAATAACAGCTATCCTTTTATACAAGGATATTAGTATGTAAGAAGCAGGAGGTTAATACAGCTTACAATATCTAGAAATTCCCTAATTTCCTTTCCTTCCTTCCTTCCTTCCTTTCTTCCTTCCTTCTTTCCTTCTTTCCTTCCTTTCTCCTTCCCTCCCTCCCTCCCTTCCTCTCTTACTTTTTCTTTCTTTCTTTTTTTTGAGGCAGGGTCTCACTCTGTCACCCAGGCTGGAGTGCAGTGGCTCACTACAATCTCAGTTCACTGTAGCCTCAACCTCCCAGGCTCAAGCAATCCTCCCACCTCAGCCTCCCAAGTAGCTGGGACCACAGGTGTATGCCACCATATCCAGATAATTTTTGTATTTTTTTCTAGAGCCAGGATTTTGCCATGTTGCCCAGGCTGGTCTTGAACTCCTCAGCTCAAGTGATCTGCCCCAAAAGTGCTGGGATTACAGGATTCCCTACTTTTGTTAGAGAAATAATAATTGTGTCAATACTTAGCATGATCCTCCTTTGCATAGATGTAATGGGATTGAGCCAGATAGAGTAAGAAGGCAACAATACATTGTCTCATCATTGAATATAATGAGAAATACCTTCCCTGTACTTCCCAGATGTTGGAATACATATTCAGATCTGCAGTTCATGAGGAAAATAAATTTCTGAGCAATTATTTTTTGAGACAGGATCTGGCTCTGTCACTCAGGCTGGAGTGCCGAGAGATGATAGCTCACTGTAACCTGGAACTTCTGGGCTTAAGCTATCCTCTCTCCTCAGCTTCCCAAATAGCTGAAACTACAGGCATGTGCCACCAGGCTAATTTAAAAAATTTTTTTTTGTAGAGACAGGGTCTTGCTATGTTGCTCAGGGTAGTCTTGAACTCTTGGCCTCAAATGATTCTCCTGCCTCAGCCTCCCAAAGTGCTGGGATAACAGGTAGAGGCACCATGCCTAGCCAGAGCAAATATTTAAGATTTAAGGTACTTCTCTTTGGTAATTAAGCGGAGGATTTTGTTTTTGTTTTTATTTTTTTTCTTTAGTACACCTAATTGAAGTTCTTTAAAATTAACTTATGTTGAATTGATAGAGATTTCTATTAATTTGTTTATTTTTAAACTAATTAAATACGTATTTGTGAATCACTGTGTCTGCCTATTTCCATGATTCTAAACACACTGTAAGAAGCCATATCACCATTGAATTAATCAGTTGAATGGAGATGAATCTATATAAGATTCCTCTACCTGTTTTGATAACATTGGCTACAGCAACTGGACACATATTACTTTGACTACTCAGCACCTGTCTTCTAAGAATCACGCCTTAAATCTCTCTCTCCAGTCACATAATTTCTGTCCCACTTCTATACTGTGGCCCTTGGTCATAGCTGATTGGTTTACTGAGTCATGTGACCCAACCTGGGTCTAACTGTTTTTTCACCAGCAACTGCAAGAGTAAATGAAGGTGCTCAGGCTTATCACTCATAAAACAAAGTTATCACTAGTTAAATTTCTTTTTTTCTTTAAATGCAAATTGGGAAACAGAAAGCTGGGATGAAGGGAGAAAGACAAATGAAGCTAACCAGAAAATATCAGTTCTGGTTTCAACTTGTTCCTGAAGCCTATTACTGTCATTGGATTTTATCAACTATCCTAATATCTTTCCAATACATTTCTCATTTTCTCCTTGCACTAGCTAGATTTGGGTTAGTTACTTGAGATTGAAAATTACTAATTAGAAACGAATATGGAAGAACCGGGATACTGCAAAAGATAGATTCTAGCATGTGAGGCTTGAGAAATTTATAATGAGACTTGGGAATTCTGCTGCTAGGATGGGAAGCTGCAGATGTTGTGCTGTACCAAAGCAGGCAGCTAAACCATCTCCTTTGTCCGTTGGGATTCAGGCCTCATGCTCACTGAAGCTGGAGCAAGGAGGCTTTGGGACAACTTAGCAGAATGCTTGTGTGTTTAGAAGCTATAGGAAATGTGGCATTCAATGACAATAAAAAGAGACTAGCTCCCTTTATGTGGGCCCATTGGAAGGCAGAGAAGGGATATTAGAATAAGTGTGTAATCTTTTTCTTTGTTTTTGTTTTTGTTTTTTGTTTTTGTTTTTCTTTGAGATAGAGTCTCGCTCTGTCACCCAGGCTGGAGTGCAGTGGCGCGATCTCAGCTCACTGCAAGCTCCACCTCCCGGGTTCACGCTATTCTCCTGCCTCAGCATCCCGAGTAGCTGGGACTACAGGTGCCCACCACCATGCCCAGCTAATTTTTTTGTATTTTTAATAGAGATGGGGTTTCACCGTGTTAGCCAGGATGGTCTCGATCTCCTGACCTCGTGATCCACCTGCCTTGGCCTCCCAAAGTGCTGGGGTTACAGGCATGAGGAATAAGTGTGTAATCTTGTGAAGAAAAGCCATTTCCTAGCTGAAGCAAGATGTTAGAAGTTACAAAGCATGAGATGATCAGAGCCTTGCTGTACTGCAACCAGCAAATTTGCTGCAGCTTAAAAAACTAGCTAAAAAACTAAGTGCTTTGTTAAACAAAACGAGGGATCTTTGGCAATTGTAACAAAGATATTTGGTGGAAACTAAAAGAATCAGGAAGCACTGATTTTCTTTCAAAAATCGTCTGCTGCTAATTCACTGCCTGTCAAAAGACTCGGTGTTTCTCATTGACCAGCACATGGGCCAGAATATAGCCTGGGGATAGGCATGGCATTCCAGAACATATTGACTGGCTTCACTACCACCCTACCCTATTACAGAATCCTGAGGCCAATTGTATAAAGTTCAAAGCTAGCAGAAAGGGCAGAGTATTCATTTATGTTTCAAAGAAGCCAACAGTGTGGGGCCCTGCTTCAACTACAGATTCAGAGTATGGATGGCAAACCCTTCTGTCACGGGTATTGTCCAAAAAATAAGATAATCCAGCAGCTTACTACAGTTAAGGGAGTTGCACTGCAAAAAAAAAAAGTCAAGCCTTGCCCATAAGATACTGAAATTTCTTAATCCAAAAGCAACCTCCAGGAACTGACAGTACATGGACTATTAAGGTAGAATGGCCCTCCCACAGAAAAATCCTTTATTCTCAGGAATAACTCTGAAAGTCTGGATAAGGGAACTCTTAGTTGCAGCTAGAACCTGAGACAATCAGATGATCTCAGCAAAGAACTCACTCGACTCTAAAAACTGTCATATGGTATTTTTAACAATGAAAACACAAACAGAAAAAAGAAAATATCTTATCCAAGACCACAAAACTATTAAAACTGAGCTATAAACATAGGTATCTTAGTTCTGGAAACCTCATACCTATGGCATTTACTGGTTCTATTTTTCCCATCAAGATTAATCTAGAAGACAAATCCTGGTTCTACTATTCATATGATGTGCAATATTAGACAAGTTACTTAACCTCCTTGGGCCTCAGTTTCCTCTTTTTAAAGTGGGAAAGATAATAATATTGACTACCTTATGGAGTAATTATGAGGATTATATGAATAAATGCATGTAAAGCCCTTAGGCTAATGCTTGGTACTTCTACTCTGTTGTTGCTGGTGTTACTTATTGATGTGGTTTGGCTGCGTCCCTACCCAAATGTCATCTTGAATTGTAGTTCCCATAATCCCCACATGTCATGGGAGAAATCTGGTGGGAGGTAATTGAATCATGGGGGCAGGTTTTTCTTGTGCTGTTATGATAGTGAATAAGTCTCATAAGATCTGATAGTTTTATAGAGGGAAGTTCCCCTGCACACATGCTCTTGCCTGCTGCCATGTAAGATGTTACTTTGCTCCTCATTAGCCTTCTAATGTGAGGCCTCCCTAGCCATGTGGGACTGTGAGCCAATTAAACGTCTTTCCTTTATAAATTACCCAGTCTCAGGTATGTCTTTATTAGCAGCGTGAGAACTGACTAATACAGTAAATTGGTACTGACAGAATGCAGTGCTGCTATAAGGACACCCCAAAATGTGGAATCGATGTTGAAATTGGGTAACAGGCAGAGGTTGCAACACTTTAGAGGGCTCAGAAGAAGACAGGAAAATGTGGGAAAGATTGGAACTCCCTAGCAACTTGGAGGGCTCAAAAGACAGGAAGACATGGGAAAGTTAAGAACTTCCTAGAGATTTGTTGAATGGCTTTGACCAAAATGCTGATAGTGATATGGACAATAAAGTCCAGGCAGAAGTGGTCTCAGATGGAGATGAGAAACTTGTTCGGACCTGGAGTAAACGTGACTCTTGCTATGTTTTAGCAAAGAGACTGGAGGCATTTTGCCCCTGCCCTAGAGATCTGTGGAACTTTGAACTTGAGAGAGATGATTTAGGCATCTGGCAGAAAAAATTTCTAAGTAGCAAAGTGCTCAAGATGTGACTTGGGCACTGTTAAAAGCATTGAGTTTTTTTGTATTGACAAAGGTATGGTTTGGAATTGGAACTTAAGTTTAAAAGAGAGGCAGAGCATAAAAGTTTGAAAAATTTGCAGCCTGATGATTCAATAGAAAAGAAAAACCCATTTTCTGTGGAGAAATTCAAGTTGGCTCCAGAAATTTGCATAAGTAGTGAGGAGCCAAATGTTAATTGGCAAGACAATGGGATGGGGAAAATGTCTCAGGGCATGTCAGGGACCTTCACAGCAGCCCCTCCCATCACAGGCCCAGAGGCCTAGGAGGAAAAAATGGTTTAATGTGCTAGGCCCAGGGCCCCCCTCCTCTGTGCAGCCTTGGTGACCTGCATCCCAGCCACTCCAACTGTGGCTAAAAGCGGCCAAGGTACAGCTCAGGCCATGGTTTCAGAGGGTGCAAGCCCCAAGTCTTGGCAGCTTACATGAGGTGTTGGGCCTTCAGGTGCACAGAAGTCAAGAATTGAGGTTTGGGAACCTCTGCCTAGATTTCAGAGGATGTATGGAAATGCCTGGATGTCCAGGCAGAAGTGTGATGCAGGGGCAGGGCCTTCATGGAGAACCTCTGCTAGGGCAGTGTGAAAGGGAAATGTGGGGTTGAAGCCTCCACACAGAATTCCCACTGAGGCATTGCCTAGTGAAGCTATGAGAAGAGGGCCACCATCCTCCAGACACCAGAATGGTAGGTCCACGAACAGCTTGCACCGTGTGCCGGGAAAACCCACAGACACTCAATGTCAGCCCGTGAAAGCAGCCAGGGGGAGGTTATACCCTGCAAAGCCACAGAGGTGGAGCTGCCCAAGACCATGGGAACCCATCTCTTGCATCAGCATGACCTGGATGTGAGACATAGAGTCAAAGGAGATCATTTTGGAGCTTTAAGATTTGACTGCCCTGCTGGATTTCAGACTTGCATGGGGCCTGTAGCCCCTTCATTTTGGCCAATTTCTCCCATTTGGAATGGCTGTATTTACCCAATGCCTGTACCTCCATTGTATCTAGGAAGTAACTAATTTGCTTTTGATTTTACAGGTTCCTAGGCAGAAGGGACTTGCCTTTTCTCAGATAAGACTTTGGACTGTGGACTTTCAAGTTAATGCTGAGATAAATTAAGACTTTGGGGGACCCTTGGGAAGTCATAATTGGTTTTGAAATGTGAGGACGTAAGACTTGGGAGGGGCCAGATGGAAATATATTGTTTGGCTGTGCCCCCACCCAAGTCTCATCTTGAATTTTAGCTCCCATAGTCCCCATGCATCATGGGAGGGACCCGGTGGGAGGTGATTGAGTCATGGTGGATGTGCTGTTCTCATGACAGTGAATAAGTCTCATGAGATTTGATGGTTTTATAAAGGGCAGTTCCCCTGCACATGTGCTCTTGCCTGCCATAATGTGAGAGGTTACTTTGCCCCTATTCACTGTCTGCTATGATTGTGAGGCCCCCTCAGCCATGCTAAACTATGAGTCAATTCAACCCCCTTTCTTTCTAAATTACTCAGTTTTTGGTATGTCTTTATTAGCAGTGTGAGAACAGATTAATACACTTATATTGTCAAATTTTAGGTTTTGCATCAGGACAAAATGCTTTATTGCTGGTCCAAAGCTTCTGCATCCCTAATCAACTCCACTGTGTCTAAAGGATTTATATGGTGAGCCTCCTCAATACTTTCTTGCCAGCCTTCAACAAACTATTATAAATTAGATCTCCATGTGGGCCCAAACTTTAAGGGAAGAATTTTGTTGGGGTTAGAATTTGTTTTATGCCTTCTGCTAAATTTCTTTTATTCAGACCAATGGAGAATATTAATTTTAATTAGGAAAAAGAATGAATTATAGAATATTCTACATTTAATTACAGTAAAAATATATTAAAACCCTACTTTCTTACGTGATACTCAAGTAAATGTGACTTAGTTCTTTTTCTCTTGGGATTCACAACTTTGGAGGGGAGATAAATTTATACAAACCTGATACAATGTGATAAAGGTCATTAGTGGTTTGTGGAGGAGATCACAGAAAAACAAGTAATTGAGTGGAGTTTTGCAAAAGGAATCATGAAGAAATTCTAGGCCAATGTGACAGTGTGAGCAAGGGTGTGAAGATTTTGAAAATTCATTTTGTGTTTGAGAGTGCTGTGGAGTCTGGAGTAGTGACCGGGGTTTGGGGGAAAGCAACCAGAAAGGTAGGTTGGATATTGAATAGCATTAGTAAGAAAAAGCTCCTAGGAATTACTTCAATAAATAGGAAGTAATATTCTTAATTAGACTAATAAGTTTAGAGAGATGAATATTTCTAAAAGATTTGAAGTTAGTAGGCTGCCTTAAATTTCTAAAATATTTCCTTTGAAATTGTTATTTACCCTACTAATATGCTTAGATACTCTATCTTAGCCTAGAAACTGTGTACTATCAAGATTTACAGTCAAATGCTATTATTCCAAATTATATTAAGGCTCTGTTCATTTCATATTCAACAAATGACCACCAATTATTCTTTTTCTTGATCTCATTGGAATTTAAAATTTTTTCATGGTATTATATGGAGCAACATTTCTAACACTGTGTTTCATGTAAAAAGCATGTGGTCATAAGAAATTTGGGAAATATCTTAGTCTGTTTTATGTTGCTTTAACAGACAGGCTGAGTATTTTATGGAGAAAAGAGATTTATTTCTTACAGTTATGGAACCTGGGAAGTCCAAGAGCATGGTGCTGGTGTCTGGTGAGGACCTTGTGCTGCATTATTCCATAGTGAAGGGCAGAAGCAGAAGTGAGCACACAATACAGAGAAGGAGGCACCAGGGGCTGTACTTGCTTTATAACAACTCACTCTGGAAATAACTAAGCTGCTCTTGCAATAATGATGTTAATCGATGAGGGATCTGCCCTCATGACCCAATCATCTCTTATTAGGCCCCACCTCCCAACGCTACTGCATTGGGAATTAAACTTCCAACACATGAACTTTTGAATGACACATTCAAACCATAGCAGGAAACAATAGAATAAACAAAATCAACTGGATCTTGATTGCATGACTTTTCAAGGCCTTTAATATTGCTAATATTCTTTGTGAAACTCCAAAAGATAAAGTAATTAGCAATTTTTAAAATTATGTGACAAATACTTACTTAGTGCACCACTTAGTAACATCTTGAGGAAAACCAGCATTCTGTGGAATACTGAATGGCTAAAACTGTGTGAAACCATCCAAGTATCAAATGTTGCAGGTCAAAAAGCAGCCATAGCAGTTGACATACGGGCAGTCATGTGCATAGCTGAATAGTGACAATGAATTCCTTTCATTGGAAACCCTTCTTTAGGGTGGCTTGCAGAACAATAATTAATTTTATTATAGCTTGGATTCTTCCTCTAAACCATTATCTTTTCAATAAAATAAACACTGTACAGGTGCTCATTTTTATAATAACTATCTCTTTTATTTACAGGTGTTTCTTAGCTTGGCAATTATACGTTTCTCTTAGTCACAAAGGTTTGTGCTAGTAGGAAAATGGAAGGTACTTTCTGTCATTAGCTATGCATTCCCACGTTCAATAAATACATCCAGACTTATTTTCTTCTATAAGAAAAAAACGTTGTGTGCAACTTGAGGCAGTGAGGAGTGAAAGTTTTATGAAGAAGAAGTTTACAAAGCTGGCACAATGTCAGATTTAGAATCTTTTACAAATGGTCAGTTTTGAGTCTTGTGAAATACCTCCTAAATCAAAATACACAGCAGCAGGCTTAGAATTTTTATCTTTAAAAAGCTTCTCAGGTAATTATAATGCAACTGGTAGATTGGCAGACTGTAGTGGCCAGCGGAAATTTATGAAAGCTTGACACTTTTGTTCCATAACCTTTTTGAGATTCAGGTTTATGTGATACTTAACTCAGATTTACTTTGCATGCTTTAATTTTTTGGAGAATAATACAATGATATTCCAAAAAGTCTTTTTGATTTTTTTCTCACTCTTTATGGAACCATATATTATATATTTAGGTTTCCTCCACGTTTTGGTCAACTGCATTTTTCATACCATATACTCTTTTAGGAAATCTCATCTAGTCTTGTGGTTTCAACAATTGCCTCTATGCAGATGACATCTTCCCCAAACTTCAGATTATATATCCAACTCCAACTAGACTTCTCTACCTAAATGTCCCATGTAGGGACAAACGTCAAATGTAACTTGCTATCCTCTCACCCCAGTTCCACTCCTCATTCTATCTCTCAATTGGTAACATTGCCATCCACCTAGTTATCCAAATCTAAATCATAGGAGTAGTTATTTTATTCTTCCATAGAGGTCACTTTTATATTCTGATCCATGTCAAGTCCTGTTACTTCCTAAAAATTTATCGTATATGTACCTTGATTCTGCACTACTTGGTTCCCAGGTTCTGGAATCTAGAATTCAGGCAACTAATAAATATTATAATACTCTTATACAATACTTGTGTACTCATTTTTGACAACATAGTTATGAAAAAATATTAAGAAGCATTTGATTTACTAGTGAACTTTCAAATCACAACCCATTTGTAAATTAAAGACTGACTATACTAGTAATTATCAAACAAATCAATAAATGTTTTTAAATTTTTATTGTAAATATCACTGCTTGGGAAAAAAATGTTTACGATTAGAGTGAAATGAAGAGACAGGATCTTCTATAGATATTCTGAAGGGAACTTCCAGACTTTTTCAGAAGGCTTAGGAGTTTACGGTTTTGCAAAATGCAATTATTTTATTAAAACATTTGTTTCCCTCTTGCTTTTTTTTTGTCCTGTTTTTTCCTGGTGTATTTTGTGTTTGGTAGGTTAAATGGCTGGTTTCTTTGTTCCTGTGGCATTTGGACTGAGTTCTTGTTACTGGACATTAGAACTCACTTTGTCTAATAGGTGACTAAATATTTGCTAATCAAATATTCATTACCTACTGTATATGGCTGAGGGTGGAGAAGGGAATTGAGTTCCAAGGGGCCCAATGGGACTTTCTAAGGTGACAAAAATATTGTATCTAAATTGTGGTACTGGTTTCAGGGCCACATGCATTTGTCAAAACCCATCCAACTGTACTTTACTGTTTAAGTTATGCCATAATAAACCTGACTTTTTAAAAGGCTCTCAAGCAGAATGTCCCTTGTGGGCAGGTCACTTACCTGGGCGAGACTTGATGACCACGAGAGGGAAATAGGCACAAGACTGGGGCCACCCAGAGGAGTAGTGGGGAGGTTCTGACAGCAGCTCACCACCAGGGAAGGCTGACCGCAGTGGACTTCAGACCTGAGACCTTGCAATGATGGATGGAGACTTTGTCATCTGTTGGCCCCAGGAGAGGTGACAGGCAGCACCTCCCAAAACCCCATTAGGTTGTGCCCTGGCTGAGGACCATGCATCCTGAGAGCTCGAGACTCCCGCAGGTTGCTGACATGGGGGCAGCCTCCCTCCTGCTTTTATAGATACTTTAATAGAAGTATGCTGAAGCAGGTTTTGGGTTTATGAATGGATTGAAAAGAGGAGGAAATGAGGGTCAGAGAGATAAAAACGATCTAAGAAAGAGATTGCCTATTTATCTCTAAAAAATACAAGGGAGCCAATATAAGAATCAGGACTGCAGTCGACAAAAGCAGACCTATGTGGCAGGGAGAGAAACCTTGTGTGGCTTCGTCCCAGTACTGGCCCCCAGAGAAGAGTACAGTCCTGGTCATTTCCTAGCAGAGGGGGGGAAAATGCAGATGTGCTTATTTTAAAAATGGTTTTTGATGGACACCCACCAACCACACAAACCCATAAAATAGGATTCTGTACAAAGACATTCAATCCCATTCATGTTATATTGCTGAAGAATGAGTTTCAGAAGAGATGATCTATCACACGAGCAAAGCAACGTTTATGTGATACAATGCGACCACTGCACAGAGACAAACTCGAAGAGGGTGGAGAATGATGGTTTTGATTCTTTGAAGAATTTTCCTCAAAAATGCTTTTCTGTGGGTGGCATTTTAAAAAAAAAATCCATCTAGTTGTCTTTGTCTGCAACTCTATACCAGATACATCATAGGATGCTTTTGTTTCAGCCCAGAAAGTGAAATTCTGGTCTTGGATACTTTAAATGTAAAATCCAAAGAGGTCAGCTGCTCATAGGAGATGATCGGGAGTAAATGGGCCACCTAGCAGGATTCAAAGCCACAAGATTAGAGGTTGGGTAGCTCTCTTAATTCTCAAAAATTCTTATGGGAGAACCTCTAAGAATGAGAAGAGGGAAAATTAAGGCTATAAATTGTCATTCTTTTTGTCTTCTCATCTTTCCCAACACAGACATTCCCCCCTACCCTGAACTATTTTATTTATTTTTGTTTATCATCTGTTTGCATAGTTTATATCTAGTTGCAGCATTTCTTTGCAACCCAGAAGTACAATGAGGGTAGGAGACAGACAAACAAACCCTTTCCATTCTACCTGTTTCTTTCTTGTTGATTCATTCGTTCATTTAAAAAATATTTACTGGCTGGGCACAATGGCTCATGCCGGTAATTACAGCACTTTGGGAGGACAGGGTAGGAGGATCATTTGAAGCCCGGAGTTTGAAACTGGCTTAGGCAACATAGCAAGATCCCATCTCTATAAAAATAAAAATTAGTTGGGTGTGGTTGTACATGTCTGTATTCCTAGCTACTGGGGAGGCTGAGGAGGGAGGATCTGTTGAGCACAGGAGTTTAAGGCTGCAGTGAGCCATGACCACACTGTTGCACCCTAGTCTGGATGACAGAGTGAAACTCTGTCTCAAAAAAAAAAATCTACTGATTGCCTCTGATTAGCCAAGTGCTGTTGTAGGTGTGCAGGATACATCAGTGAACAAATAATCATACATTATTTCCCCCAAGGAGCTTATATTATAGTCAGGGTCAAAAACCAAAAGAACAAAAAATAAGCAAAAACGGTAACAATAAGCAAAAATAAATAAAAATAATTAAATTACTACTTATTAAAATAAATATTAATATTAATTAACTATCAATTAAATTAATTTACTTATTATAAATTTAAACATTTATCCTTTATAATGATAAATATAATAAATTTAATAATAAACATTAAAAATAAATGTTACCTAGTTTGCTGAGAGATGAAAAGAGCTGTTATGCATTAAATTGTGTTCTCCACTCCAAAATTCGTATGTTGAAATTCTAACACCCACTTCCTCAGAATGTGACATTTGGAAATAAGGTTGTTGCAGATATTACTGTGAAGTTAAGATGAAGTCATTTGGGTGGGCCCTAATCCAGTATGACTAGTGTCCTTATAAAAAACGGAAATTTGGACAGAGAGAAGCAGAGTCTCACACAGGAAGAATGCCATGTGAACATAAAGGCAGAGACTGGGTGATGAATCTGTAAGTCAAGGAACACTAAAGTTTGCCAGCAACCACCAGAAGCTAGGAGAGAGGCGCGGGATGGTCCCTCTCACAGCCCACAGAAGGAACCAACCCTGCCCTTCGGAGTTCAGACTTCCCGCCTCTAGAACCACAAGACAATGAATTTTTGTTTCTTAAGCCGCTCTCTTGATGGCATTTTGTTATAGCAGCCCTAGCAAACAAATACTGGGGCTACGAAAATTACGGAGGAGCATAAGGGGTATTGGGAATCCTTCACAGGATTCCATGAGTCATTTTTCACATAGGGAAACCAAGAGGTAACAGATGATTTTCTTGACCACCCTCACCTACTAGGAAAACCTGATTGTTGGTTCCCCGTCCTTCCCTCTCCCCAGCACTTTGTAGACATCTCCATAATGGCTCCTGTTTTAACCTGTTTTCACACTGCTATAAAGATACTACCTGAGACTGGGTAATATATAAACAAAAGAGGTTAAATTGACTCACAGTTCCGCATGGCTTGGGAGGCCTCAGGAAACTTACAATCATGGCGGAAGGTGAAGGAGAAGCATCTTTTTACATGGTGGCAGGAGGGAGAGAGTTCAGAGGAAACTGCCACTTTTAAAACATCAGATCTCGTGAGAACTCTCTCACTAACACGAGAACAGCATGGGGAAAACCACTCCCATGATCTAATCACCTCCCACCAGGTCCCTCACTTGACTTGTGGGGATTACAATTCGAGATGAGATTTGGATGGGGACGCAGAGTCAAATCGTATTGGCTCCATCAAACTGTACCGAGTGATTTATTTCTGTCTTCATCTATCTCTCCCTCACCATCTATCTCAATGAGGGATCATCTCATTCTCCTTCCTGTGTTTTAATTTCTAGCACATAACCTGCACTTGGTAAGTGCTCAATATGTGTTAATTAAATAGATGGAGAATGCATATAAATTCCATGAGAATTTAATGTGTGCAAGTTTCCTATGGTCTTATAATTAATATAATTTGATATAGATGAAATTCATAACTTCTCATGAAATGGGGCATTGGCAGCTGCCCCTCTTGGGTGGAGCACATATTCTGAAACAGTGAGGTTTTTTGGGGATGAGCATGATCTCAGAGCTCCTTGCCTGCTATGGGAAGCTTGTGCCTGTTTTCCACCCAAAAACCAGAGATAACAATGGCACTGCCTACCTCACATGATGTTGTGAGAGCTAACACATAGAATGAATGCTTCAAATAATGCTGGCCTTGAGAGAGTTCTTAAAGAGTACTAACCGTTATTACTGCTGTTCATAGAGATTCATTTGAGAAGACTTCTAAAAGCATTCAATAATTGGGTGCCTGGGTCACTGTGGATGAAATGAGAGTCCAGAATTGTCTCACTGCTCATTGGGTTGACGGTCTAATGGGGAAAGCAAAGAGTAACAAAATAATTACAAATAAATAAACAGTGCAGGTGTGATCATAGCTATGAAGGAGAGATACCTAGTGCTTGGAGACCACTGATGGAGGACTTAACTGATATGCAAGGTTAGGGAGAATGAGTTGAGATCTCAGATATGAGTAGGAATTGCCTACTGAGGATGGGAAGAACAGTATTCCTGGAGGAATGAGTGGGTAGGAGCCCTGAGGCAGTAGGAGCTTTTCTTGTTTATGGAAGGGAAAGGAGGCCAGCGTGCCTGGGGTGCAGCAAGTGAGAGGAGCATGGCTCAAGGTGAGGCTGAGCAAAGACACGGCAGACAGCTCATGCAGAGCTTTTGTCACCTTGCTAATTATTTGGCATAATGGAATCTGAGTGAGGTATTGGGGGTGAGTTGTGAGGAACAACATGCTCAGAGTTTCCTTTTGAAAATCATTCAGGTTGCAGTGTAGAGAATGACTAAGAAGCACAGAGTGAATGCAGGTAGACCCCATCAGAGGGAAGGGTCATGGTAGCTTGGGCTTAAGTGATAGTTTGTAGAAATGGAGAGAAGTGATAAATTGAAAATGGGTGGTGACAGAAAGGGGGCTATTGAAGACCAGGGCAGGTTGCTGACTTTGTCACTAGTATGGTTACAAAGGGTCTCACTCATGAGACCACACACTGAAGAGAACTGATTTTGAATATTTTGACTATAAGGTACTTTTGAGACATCCAAGTGAAAATGTCCAGTGCTCAGTGGAGCATATGGGCTGATGGTGCAGAAAAGAATCATATAAATATCAGGCATTCAGGCATCCATTGCCCTGAGGGAAAGATGTAAAGGAGTGAGTATTTTGTGGTCTGACTATAGCCCCCAAATTGCAGAGCTAGTCCCTGGGAAAGAGATGGACCAACTGGCCTAATGTGTCATACTTTCTTCCTTTCCAGCGATTTCTATTTTGAGTCCTCAATATACTAGGTGGCCCAAACTTAACCACAGTCAGTTGGAGACCTAGGAATTTCTCGAGACCTGTGTCTAAATGGAAGGCTTGAGTGGTGCCACCACCCTGTGGGGAGGCACAAGATCTTCAGTCATCTGTCTGCACAGTTATCTAGTCCTGAGTCATCAGTCCACTCAGGTTGTAAGGAGATATCCCTCTTCCTGTCCACATGACCCCTTCAGGTGTGGCAACTCTTTTTGTTTCTTTCTCATCACACTTGAGAGACAACAATTATTCTGCTGCTTCTGTCAAGGTCTGAAGCACAGGAATCTAGGTCTGCCTTTGGCTCCGTGGGCCTGGACTCAATGTGCAGCGCTCCATTCTCATCAGGACTCTACTAAGGGAGAGAGGTAGTTAATGACCTCTGCTCCCAGGCACCTCAAATTTCTGCCAAGGCTGTATACCAGGAACTGGGAGACAGTTTCTCATCCAGTCTCTCCAAAACCTCTCCAGGATCCTGCCATCTTTTAGGGACTCCAACCCCATAAAATGGGTGGAGCAAGGCTCAGCTCTCTGGTTCCTACCCACAAATCCACTCTCCTTCATCTAACTCCTGCCCTCTTCCCTCCATGTAGCTTGTGGAATAGGCTCCTAATCTGCTTTTTTTTTTTTTTTTTCTGTGCCAGGATTATCCTTGTTTCTCCTAAGGCTTTGGATTTTAAAAACCAAAGCAAGGAAGACTCTGTTTTCCCTTCTACTTCATATTGTATCATTCTCTGAGGAGACAAGTTCAGAGAGCCTAGATCCTCAAATGGAAATTTGAGAGAAATTGGAAAGAGAGGATCAATGTTTTAAAAATGTCTTCATGCCACAGCTAAGAGAAAAAGTTCCCTTTTACCCCTTCGAGATGATTATATGATCAGATCAAATAGTGTAGGTTATAATGAAAAATAGCTACATAATTAATCTTGAGGTCAGAGACTCTGTGTGTTTATATATCCACATGAAGTAGTATAAGCTATTTTCCTTTTAGTTCCTTCTTAACCGAATTAAATTAGAGTTCTGTGAGGCTAAACTAACTAAAACTGCAAAATTCCCTGAGATTCATGACATTAAAATCATTCTGTTTCCTTGCCATTAAGGCCTACAGGATAAGACTCTATTCCAGCCATATTTTATCATACATGGTTTTTCAGCTTCCAAGAGCCACCAGGAGCTATTTATTGGTCTTCAGCACTAACATAGAGAGTGAGGTTTGAATGTAATATAGCAGCATTAAAAGCATCACCACATCCTTGTTATGTTGTTTAAAGATGAATAAATATTTCAGGGAAAAAGAAAAATACTAGATTAGATTTTCATGATGCTAAGGGAGATTTATACTATCTAACCTAATGAAAAACAAATCATAATGTTTTACATTTAAATATATTCTACATTTCTCTAAGTATATGAGAGAAAAACAAATGAATAGTTTCAAGATCATCAGAGTATAGTTAGAGCACCTCAACATTTTCAGTTTAGGAAGTTACACTTTGGACCTCGGGGTATGATTGGCTATTAACAATATGAAACTAGATTAAAATTGTCTTAGTTTATCATGTGAGTTCATAAATAAAGGAGTCTGCAGGACAGAAGGGTCAAAGAATAATATAAGTAATAGAATGTAGCCTAATTCTTTGGAATCCCTTAACTAGTTTTTATAACCTGCTGCAATACTCACTCTTTAGTGCTCTGTATGGATAACTCTTTGACCATTTTTATAGAATGCTTCGAGAAAGTTATAGTCCAAGAAATTTAAATAGTTACCCTGTGCAGGTAAAATGAAAATGAATTTGCTTTCTTGCTGGGCGCAGTGGCTCATGCCTGAAATCCCAGCACTTTGGGAGGCTGAAGAGGGAGGATTGCTTGAGCCCAGGAGTTCCAGACCAACTTGGGAAACATAGTGAGATACCCATCTCTAAAAAAAAAAAAAAAAGAAAAGAAAAAATTGCTTTCTTAAAAGAGGGCAAAAAGGTATGCTGTGCAAGATATTTTCTATTATTATCTGTACTTTTTTGCAAAATAAACAAACTTTAATAGAAAATGGATGGAAACAGTTATTCTAGTGTTCTATAAATTATTCCTGAGAACTAGTAAGAGGCTGTAACGTATCCTTAATTATTTGACTTTGTAAAAGATCATAGGTGAAAACAAATTTACAAAACTCCTTTGTTAATTGAATAAAAGAAAGCACTCATATTCTCCATTAACTTAGAATTTTCATCTTTGCATTCTTTCGCACATTTACATTGTTTTCTTCAAATGCCTTTGACTGATTTTTCTAAATTTTTTCCTAACATCCAAACATCTTTTGGCATAAGGTTGCTGGCCTAACCTATAGATTATTATATTTATTGCTCTAATCTATATCAGGAATGGGCATGATGCCTTAGACACAATTAAACTCTAGCTAAAATTTCCAGTGCCCAAAGAAGAAAAGAAAGGCATTTAACATTGGCTCGCTAAGATCAGGGACATGTCTAGTTTTTTTATTTTAAGACTTATTAACTTTTTATTAAGTCAAATATATGTATTTTTATCCAATAAGAAACATTGTGTTTTAATTTTTTAAACTAAGAAGTAAGGTCCCATGAAGAGAAAGATAACATTAACTTTGTGGCATTCCATGGAAAAAAAACTGAGCTACTCAAACCTTCTCATAAATCTCTGGTTAGCCACAAAGCCAGCCCTGGCAAATGGATAGAACCTACATTTCCAAGTTTGCCAAGTAAAGAAAGATGTTGCCTGAAGTTTTAAAAACCATTTGTGGCTAAATTTCTAAAGTAAAAACAAAGGCCAATCTAACCTGAACCTGACACCAGTAGCTGTCATATCTATCATGTGATTGGCATATTCTTTTTTGGGGGAGGGCAGGGGATGGAGTCTCCCTCTGTTACCAGGCTGGAGTCCAGTGGTGCAATCTCGGCTCACTGCAACCTCCGCCTCCCGGGTTCAAGCAATTTTCCTGCCTCAGCCTCCCGAGTAGCTGGGATTACAGGCACACACCACCATGCCCGGCTAATTTTTGTATTTTTAGTACAGACGGGGTTTCACCACGTTGGCCAGGATGGCCTCGATCTCTTGACCTCGTGATCTGCCCACCTCGGCCTCCCAAAGTGCTGGGATTACAGGCGTGAGCCACTGTGCCCTGCCGGTATATTCTTTTCTTCAGTCCACTTACTATAACTTTCAACTGTTATATTTAGGTCTTCTTATTCTTTTTCTTTTGGTCTCTATAACTGGAATATAAGAGACAGTGTCTGTCTAGCACAATATTTTATCTCCTGTACTAGCAGAGTAGCTGGCACACAACGAATAGGCCTATTAACTATGCTTCACTTTTATCCTTATCTTTTTGGATTGCCATATTTTACAGAGTGCTTCAAGAAAGTTATAGTCCAAGAAATTTAAAATGTATGTAGGTTGACATAAAATCAGCATGTTTTTCATGTCTGCCAAAAAGTCATCTGAAGGCAACAAGGTGAATGAAAACCAGTTTCACAAGGGAGGATACTGAGAGAAGATAGCACAGTGAGAGAAAGAACTGGTGATAGGACCCAATTGCTATATATATTAGAAAAAAACTGAAAATTTTACACTTTACAAAATTGATATGAATGTCTTGAAGGACAAAAACAGTGTTTCCTGTTTGCAAGGATGTAGGAGGCAGTGGTGAGCTACAGCTTTACTTGTTTCTAGAAGCAGAAGTATGGCCAAATGGAATGTCACATAGACAAGCCATGTTTCCAGGAAGTAGTGCTTCTCTGGGGCAGTAGGAAAGAGAACAGTATTTGAGTTGTGTGTGTGTGTGTGTTGGGTGTTGGGGGAAGGGAATACCACTTATCTCAACTGTTTGGGAAATAGTAAAAGCTGTATAAACTCTCTCATAAATTCCTAGGTCATAAGAAAAATCCCGGCTATCCTGGAACAAGGTCCTGGCCTCTACCTTTCCCATAAACTTCCTTCAAAGAGCTGGTTCAGAAATCCAGCAAAGAAAGAAAACACTTTAATAATAAATAATTGAAAGGGACTAGTACAGAACCTATATGGAAAATCTTTTTTTTTTTTTTATTATACTTTAAGTTTTAGGGTACATGTGCACATTGTGCAGGTTAGTTACATATGTATACATGTGCCATGCTGGTGCGCTGCACCCACTAACTCATCATCTAGCATTAGGTATATCTCCCAATGCTATCCCTCCCCCCTCCCCCCACCCCACCACAGTCCCCAGAGTGTGATATTCCCCTTCCTGTGTCCATGTGATCTCATTGTTCGATTCCCACCTATTAGTGGAAAATCTTTTTTAATTTTTTACTTTGCAGTTTTATGGGTACATAGTAGCTATATATATTTATGGGGCACATGAGATATTTTGATACAGGCATACAATCTGTAATCACATCAGGGTAAATGGGATATCCAATACCTAAAGTATTTATTATTTCTTTGTGTTACAAATGTTCCCATTATACTCTTGTAGTTATCTTAAAATGTACAATAAATTATTTTTGACTGTAGTCAACGTGTTGTTCTATCAACCACTAGATCTTATTCATTCTAACTATATTTGTGTACCCAGTAATAATCCCCACTTTTCCTCCTGTTCCTCACTACCCTATCCAGGCTCTGGTAACCATCATTTTACTCTCTATCTCCATAAATTCAATTGTTTTAACATTTAGCTTCCACAAATGAATGAGAACATATGAAGTTTGTCTTTGTGTGCCTGGCTTATCTCACTTAACATAACATCTTCCAGTTCCATCCATGTTTTTATAAATGATGAGATCAGATTTTTTTATGATGGGATAGTATTCCATTGTGTGTAAGTACCAAATTTTCTTTATCCATTCATCTGTTAATGGACACTAAGGTTGCTCGCAAACCTTGGCTCTTGTGAACAGTGCTGAAGTAAACATGGGAGTACAGATAACTCTTTGATGCACTGATTTCCTTTCTTTGGGTATAGATCTAGCAGTGAGACTGCTGGATCATATGGTAGTCTTATTTTTAGTTTTTGAGTAACCCCCATGCTGTTCTCCATAGTAGCTATACTAATTTGCATTCCCACCACCAGGGTACAAGGGTTCCCACTTCCCAACATCCTTGCCAGTATTCTATACAGAGATTCTTTAAAAAATCAGAAAGGAAAAGCAAAAAAAGGTAATTGATGAAGAGCACTCATCAGAAAATTATTGCTATGGAACAGACAGATACTGTGAACACATATTTTGCCATGATTTTAAACAAATACGATGAGCTAATTGCTTTTATAAGTCAAGATACAAAATAAACATGCAAAAACCCATGGAAGAAATGGCATAAGGATATGAAATTAGCTGGCACAGCACATGGAAAAAGTGAAAGAAATAATAATTAAAACAATCATGGTAAAATTAAAAGGACCTGAAAAGAGAAGAAATATTGTAGAAAACACAATAAGTGACATAGAAGATAAAAATGAAAAAATAGGCAAATTGAACTGAAAATAAAAACCTTAGAAAGAGTAAAGAAACTATGATAGATACAAAAAGTAGGCAATAGAGCCTTAAAGTACTCATAATCAGGGGGAACAAAGAAGAAAGAGAAATGTGGAACAGAAACAAAAACATTTCAGAAAGCGTTTTTTATTTCAAAGGAAACTTGACCTAGTATTGAAAAGGCACATCATGAGTCACAAAAAGTCGATTAAAAATGATTAACCCTGAAGAATATTAAATTTATTGGACTTCAAAAATAAAGAATCTTTTGGATATCTAGGCAAAAAAGATCAGCTAACTTATAAAGGAAAATAAAATCAGGCTAATCTCAGACTTATTGGCAACAAAATTGCATCTCAGAAAATAATGTAATAATAACTACCAAATTCTCAAAGAAAGAAAATATGACCCAAACATTTTATAGATTGCCAAACTGTAACTTGTGTGTAAAGAAAAAAGATCAACTGTTTTAAAAATGCCAGAATGCAAGAACACATATTCCTCAAGGAGATGTTCCTTAAAGTCTTTTTGAAAAATTCATACATAACAAACTATAGCCCACCTAAAGATGATTGGAACACAGAAACAAATGATTAGTAGTGAGCATTGACTGAATTCATAAATTAAGACTAAATTAAAACTAAATGAATTAAAACAAATAAAAGTGGAGACTAAGAATAATTATGGAATGTAAATATTGTGTGTTCTGATAATGTAGAAATGAGATAATTAAAAAATTGAGAGGCAAAAGAAGAAATAAAAGATTTATAGTCAAATTCGTATTCTGACTTCTACATCTTTCACATTTGGAAATAACAGAATGAAACTTAAGCTAACAAATCAAATAACAAAAGTAACAGAAATGAAGAATACCTGTGACAAGCTCACCAGCAGACTCAACACAGCTGAAGAAAGAAGCAGCGAGTTTAAAGACAGGCCAACTAAATTTGCCCAAACTGAGATACACAAAAAAAGTGATAAAAAAGAACAGAGTATTCAAGTGTTGTAAAACAGTATCAAAAAGTGTAATATGCATGTAATTCAAATCCCAGAAGAAGAAGCGAGAATGAGGCAAAAGAAATATTTAAAGAGAAAATGGCCATGTATTTTTTTCAAACAGTAAAATTAATAAAAGATACCAAATCATAAGCTCCAGGACATCAAGCTCAGAGGACATCAAGTAGGATAAATAACAAATAGAAAATACACTTAGGTACATCGTATTCAAACTGTTAAAATCAAAGATAAAGAGAAAATCTTGAAGGCAGAAAGAGGCAGAAAAGACACATTGCACACATAGAAACAAAGATAAGATTACAGTAGACTTTTCTTCATAAACCATGCAAACCAAAAGACAGTAGAGTGACCTTTTAACATATTGAAAGAAAAAAACTGTTAACCCAGAATACTTTACTCAAATTTTAAAATCTTTCAAGGCCGGGTGTGATGACTCACACCTGTAACCCCAACACTTTGGGAGGCAAAGGCAGGAGGATTACTTGAACCCAAGAGTTCAAGACCAGCCTGGGTAACAAAGTGAGACCCCATCTCAAATTTTTTAAAAAAATTTTAAAGAAGAAAAAGAAAAAAGAAAAAAAAATTTCAAAAATAAAAGAAATGCATTTTCAGATTAAAAACAAAAACTGAAAGAATTCATTTCCAGCAGATGTGTACTATAATTATTGTTACAGTAAATTCTTCAGAAAAAAAGATACCAGAAAGAATTTTGAATCTATATAAATAAAAAATGCTGAAAATGGCATGAATGGAAGTAAATATATTTATTATATTCTTATTTATAATTGACTCTAAAACATAGTAGACCATCTAAAGTAAAATTAGTAGCAATGTATTATGTTTATAGCATATGCAAAAGTATGTATGATTTAAAATAACACAAAGGGTGGGAGAAAGATATTGAGAGTACACTGTTGTAAGGCCCTTACGTAACATGTGATGCTATGTAATATTATGAATTAGACAGACTGCAATTAAATAAAGATGTCTACTATAAATCCTAGGACAAGTATTAAACTTTTTATTTAAAATATAATAATAAGCAAATACATTAGATTAAAATGGAATGATAAAATAAACTCCATCCAAAAGAATGCAGAAAAACAGGGGAAAAGAAAAAACAAATAGAACAAATAGAAAACTGCTAGCAAATTAATAGATTACATTTCAACCATACAAATAATTATATTAAGTGTAAAGTGGTATAAACATATAAATTAAATAACAGAGATCATCAGACTAGATTTTTTTTTAAAAAGCAAGACACAACTATATGCTGTCAACAGGAAATCTCCTTTTAATATAAAGACAGAGAAGTTAAAAGTAAAAGGATGGAAGAGGTATACCATTCCAAAGGTAATTTTAGAAAACCTTGATTGGCTGTATTAACATCAGAAAATGTAGACTTCAGGACAAGGAATACCACCAGGAAAAAAGAGAAGCATTACATAATAATAGGACAATTTGCCAGGAAGACATAACAACTTTAAATGTGTATGTACCTAACAGAGTTTCAAAATGTATGAAGTAAAAACTTACAGAACTGAAAAGAGAAATAGAAAATTCCCAATGTCTTGGAGGCTTCAATACTTCAACATTTTAATCAATAGAAGGTGTAGAAATGTGTTTTCCAGGCTATCATTCATCTAAAATGTATAAATAGCAAATCCACTGGTTAAGCAGAGGGGGAACTAAATCCACTGGTTAAGCATCAGGGGAACTAAATGCTGCTTTCCCATGCATGTAAACATCCCCTGTCTCTAAAGTGATTCTATTCAAATCAGCTCCCTTACTTGACTTGGGGTTCCTAAAATGGGAAAATGAATATGAATTTGTTGGCAGCTAGCTCTTGAGAGCTTGTCTGCAATAGAAGAGAATGAGGCCAAACCACAAAGGGAAGCAGAGCCAATAAATGGATTGTCTTGTTGTCAAGAGAGAACCCTATTAACAGTGTTTGAATTCCTGATACATTTTCAATCACTGTTCTAGGCACAAAGGATAAAATAGCGAACAAAAGCAATCGTGCCCCTGCTTTCATGGCGCTTATTCTCTATGGAAGAGACAAGATCCAGAAATAAACCTATAAATTATTGTGGTGTGTGTATATGTGTGTGTGTGTGGACGCATGCATGCCTGCCTGCCTTCATGCATTATAATCTCAGGTGGTGGTAAATGCCATGAAGAAAAATAATGTATGTGAAGGGTGGCGGGGGAGGGAGGGTTGTTCAAGAATGACTAGATGGAGGCATGCTCTTTTATAGGGTGATCACAAAAAGATTTTCTGATAAAGTAAACACACACCTGAAAGAAATGATAGTGCAAGCCACAAGTATATCTAAGGAAATGCACTGAAAGCAAAAGAACAGTAGCAATGAGTCTGAAATAGAAGTATGTTTAACATTTTCAAGGAATGGCAAGAGGTGATGTGGTCAGTATGCAGAGAGTTAGCTGAATAGTATTTCATTTTTAAAATTTTTTTTAAGGCTAGTCAAGAGAAGCAGTGGGAATGGAGAAGGAACAAAGACATCTGTAACTTGTTGTGATCAATCAGTTGTAAACACCATTGCACTCAGATCAGCTGAGGTGAATAGTATTAATATTTTAATGAGTGAATGCATCTAACTTATTTGACCACTACCTACTGATGAGCATTTGCAAACAGTGCTGCAGTGACTAAACTCGTATGTATATCATTTCAAATGTTCAAGTATATTTGTTAAGATAAATTCACAAAAGTGAAATTGCTTAGTGAAAGGATGTCTTCATTTGTAATTTTGCTAGGTTGTGCCAAAATGCCCTTCATGGGAGTTTTTGTAATAATTTTTATTTCCGCCAACAATGGATGAAGTCGACTATTTTCTCACAGCCTTCCCATCCCAAAATACTGTTTTAATGGTAACAGCTTTTTTTTCTCTGTGCCAGGAACTATTTTAAGTATGTAACATAAATTTATACATTGAATACTTAAAATAACCCCAGTATGAGTTAGGTATAATTATGATTCCCATTTCACTAATGAGGAAACTAAGAAAAGACAGGTCAAGACATGTTCAAGGTCACTCTATGCCTAGGACTCAGAGCCCATGTACTCCACCTCCAGACACAGGCTCTTCACCAGTACTCCACAGAGTCTCCTTAACCAACTTGTTGTCTTATGCCTATATGAGAGGTAAAAATGGTATCTGGATGTGTTTTTCATTTCTCTCATGGTAGTGGATAGCATGTTACATGATTAGACTGAAATTATAATTTACAGTTTCCTGAGTTGTTTCTATCCTTTACCCATGTTGTAAAGTGATTGCGTTTTTATTAATTTGTAGAAACTGTGTATAATGTAGATAGAAGCTCTTTGTCTGCAATATGAGTGATGTGAGTGGCAAATGTTTCCTATAATTTGTTCCATATATCCCCCCCCATGAATAAGCACTTAATTTACATGTTACCAGTATGAGTCTGGTTGTATGTTTTTTTCGAAATAGTTGGGGGAAAACTGCCTGTTTATATACTACTGGGAATTGTTATGGAGATCTTTGGGGTGTCGATTTTCTGGCTGGAAACCTTCATGGCTGGCGGTGCCTTTGCCCAAGTTCTTGTCCTGCATTGGGAAGAATGAGGTACACAGACAATTGAAGGGTGAAGAAGACAAAGATGAGCTTTATTAAGTGTTAGCACAGCTCAGAGGAGACCTGCAGTGGGTAGATCCTCTCTGTAGGCAGGTCATCCAGTTGAGTGTTCAGCTCTCTCAGCAGAGAAGAGGTCCTGGAGAGGACAGCTCCTCTCTGCTACTGGTCGTCTGGACGTCTGCTGCTCTCAGCAGACAGAAGGCCCTGGATAGAGTTGCTCCTCTAGTCCCAGCGCCTCTGCAGGTCTCTGAAGCTCTCAGCAGAGAGGGTAGCTCCTCTCTGCAGCCTGTCCTCTTGTTGTCTCCTGCTATCAACAGGGAGGGTAGCTCCTCTCCTGCTATTAGCAGAGAGGGTACCTCTTCTCTGCAGTTGACCATCCTGTTCAGTCCTTTCTTCATTCTCTGCTCTGCTCTGGCTGAGCCCAGGGCTTTTATGGGCCTGGGAGGAGGGAAGTGCATGCTAATTGGTCCATGGGAAGCAATGGGTGGGCCCAGGAAAAAGCACCATGAGTTCCACCTCTGGTCTGCAGGACTGGCAGCCCAGCCAACAGGCTTCAGGCCTGCCCCAGTCTGAAGGCGGGGCTTCACTGGGGACCCACCCCCTGTGCTCAGGAGCCTATCTGCCTCCCTCGGCCATCCATGGCAGCCAGGCTGCTAGCACTGAGGGGCACCTGCAGGCCAGTGCTCAGTCACCCTCAGCACCCCCCTCAGCTTCCCCTCCCACACTATTTTGTGCCCAAAGAATGGAGGGAGCCTAAGTAGCAGGGGGCTGGCCTGTCAATGCTGCCTTGAGTGTGCACACACCCAGCCAGGTTGTGACAGCACCTGGGCTTGGCCTCAACCCTGCTGTGAGATCTGAGCAGGCGCTGGGAGTGGGGAGAGGCCAGGCAATGGGAGCAGGCATCTCTGAGCCTGCAAGGGCAATGGGGAGCCTTTTCATGCCCTCCAAGAGGGCAGGGATGCTTGGGTCTGCAGTGCTGGATTGGGCAGCTGCAGCTGTGCCCAGGGGGATGGTGCTCCTGCTTGCTCGGTGGAACAGGAGGCCCAGATCGCAGCCATGACTTGAGCAGCTCTCCTGCCACTCAATGGAGCGTGGCACGTGGCTGTGCCCCCTTGCAGCCTGGGGTGGAGTCTCCAGGGCTTTGCTGGGCCTGGCCCTGGCACTCAGGGATTGAGCTCCATCACTGTGGCTCCCAGGGTGGTGGGCTTTGGGGGATGAAGGGGGCCTGCCGCTCCACACCTGTGGGTATTTCTTGTCAGGTGGGATGAGAGACTGAGAAAAGAAATAAGATACAGAGACAAAGTATAGAGAAAGAACAGTGGGCCCAGGGGACCAGCACACTCAGCAGGCAAGGACCTGCACCAGCGCTGGTCTTTGAGTTCCCTCAGTATTTATTGATCATTATTTTTACTATCTTGGCGAGGGGAGTGTAGCAGGTCAACAGGTGGGGAGAAGTTCAGCAGGGAAACATGTGAGCAAAGGAATCTGTATCATGAATAAGTTCAAGGAAAGGTACTGTGTCTAGATGTGCATGTAGGCCAGATTTAGGTTTCACTTTACACAAACATCTCAGTGTAGCAAAGAGTAACAGAGCAGTATTGCTGCCAGCATATCTTGCCACCAGCCACAGGGCAGTTTTCTCCTATCTCAGAATAGAACGAATGGGAATGGTCGGCTTTACACCTAGATATTTCATCCCCAGGGACGAGCAGGAGACTGAAGACTTCCTCTTATCTCAACTGCAAAGAGGCCTCCCTCTTTCACTACTCCTCCTCAGCACAGACCCTTTACAGGTGTTGGGCTGGGGGATGTAAAGTCTTTCCTTTCCCATGAGGGCATATCTCAGGCTGTCTCAGTGAAGGGAAACCTTGTACAATACCCAGGTTTCTTGGGCAGAGGTCCCTGCGGCTTTCCACAGTGCATTGTGCCCTTGGTTAATAGAGAATGGAGAATGGCGATGACATCTGCCAGGCATACTGCCTGCAAACATATTGTTAACAAGGCACATCCTGCACAGCCCTAAATCCCTTAAACTTTGGATCAATACAGCACATTGTTTCTGTGAACGCAGGATTGGGGCTAAAGTTACAGATTAACAGCATCTCAAAGCAAAACAATTTTTCTTAATACAGATCAAAATGGAATTTCTTATGTCTTCCTTTTCCACATAGACACAGTAACAATCTGATCTTCCTTTCTTCTCCCCACAGGGGGAGGGGGTTGGAGGGTAGGGCGGTGCTGTTTGCCTCCTCCCTGTGCTTTCTGTGCAGTCGTGGTGTGATGGCAGTGGCTGTATCAGATGGCTGGTAGCTGCCATCAGGATCATCTAGCACTGTGGGAAATTCTTGAATTAGGAGACAGGTAAGGATTGCTGGAGTGGTGCCTGGAGCAGGCAAGAGTAGGTGGATAATAGTGTGCCTTATACAGCGTCACAAAAAGTTCATCTACAGTGACATATAGAAGCCTGACACAGTGGCACATGCCTGTAGCCCTAGCTACTCAGGAGGCTGAGGTGGGAGGACCACTTGGGCCCAGGAGGTTGAGGCTACACTGAGCCATGATTGTGCCACTGCACTCTAGCCTGCAGGACAGAGGGATACCCTGTCTTTAAATAAATATATATAGCAGCATATGGAAAGGAAGAATGCGTGGGCACACATGCTAGTGTATGGGCTGGTGTGGTACTGGAAGTCTGTGCCAGTTTTCTTCTGAGTGCTTCATTTTTTCTGTGCAAAGTAAAACTCTCATGAACTGAGAGTGAAGATCAAGGAGGGGAAGACATAAAATAAAATAAAATGTTGAAAGTAAAAGTTTGGAAAATATAAATAATGCCAACCTAACTCAAAGGAAGCTGGTATAGCAGTACTAATATCAAAGTAGACCTTAAGTTAAAAACCATTACTAGTTATAGAGAGGAATATTTTTATAATACTAAAAGGACCAACCTATTAGGAAAATGCAGCAATTCTAAATTTTTATAGACTTAGTAACTTAACCTGAAATAATACGAATTTTAAAATTGCAGAATATGAAAGAGAAATAAATGAATTCATATTCTTAGTAGGAGATTTTAACACAACTCTCTCCATAGCTTAAAAAGCATATAGAAAAAAATAAGGATTTAGGATATTTGAACAGCCTGAGTAATAAACTTGGCCTAATTGGTATACATAAAGCACTGCACCCAATAACTCTAAAAGAGACAATCATATCAAGGGCACATGAATCATTTATCAAAATTAACATTTCTGATCATGGTAGAAATTAGCTATAAACAAAAACAAAAAGAAAACTGAAAAATGATCATATGTTTAAAAAGGAAGCAATACACTTCTAAATAATACATGTCAAAAAATTAAAACAAATCAAAAATTGTAAACTAAAAAATAATAAAAATGCTATTTATCAAAACTTATGATACATATATAAAGCCGTGTTTAGACTAAAATTTATAACCTTAAATATATATGGTAGAAATCAAGAAAGGCTGAAAATTGAAGATCTAATCATCCATTTCAAGAAGATGGAAAATGAACATAAAATTGAGTCTAAAGAAATAGAAGGAAGGAAATAATAAAGTTAAGAATAGAAATCAATGAAACAGAAAACAAGCATAAGAAACAACTAATCAACAACCAAAAGCTGATTCTTCATATTGAAATACAAGGCTCATTTGCTGTGCTAGTAGAATAATCTCTTATACTTTCTAAGTATTTAGAATGCCAAATATGCTGCTTCCTCAATTCGAAACATGAGTAATTGTCTTTACAATTTCTATACTTAATATTTAAATTTTCACAAATTTAAAATGTGCAGACTCATTAAGAAAACAATTATGCACCCCAAATAATATTGGGGTTTTTTTCCCATGAAAATATTCTTAGCATGCCGATTTGTTTTTCGTTTGTTTTTTAAGTACCAGCAACATCAGTCAGGTTGCCACCAGATCACGTTTAAGACTGATGGAACATGGTGACGTCCTTTATAGTTGCCCTATCAATGACTCTGAACATAAAGGAAAAGTTAGTTACATTACCTATTCCGTCAAATTTGAGTCATTTTATTCCTAAATTTCAAATAAAATTATAGTCTGTAACCCTCACACAGTGACTACATACTGAATTGAAATTTGCATTTCATTGGCTATTAAGATATATATGGTATCTTAATGACAGGGATACATTCTGATAAATGCACTGTTAGGTGATTTGGTCATTGTGTGAACATCATAGAGTGTATTTTTTACAAACCTAGATGGTATAGCCTACTACATACCGAGGCTATGTGGTATAGCCTATTGCTCCCAGGCTATAAATCTGATCAGCATGCTACTGTAAATACTGTAGAAAATTGTAACATAATGGTAAATATTTGTGTATCCAAACATTCTAAACATAGAAAGGGTAATGAGTTGTGCATTATGATAGCAATGATGTCACTAGGTGGTAGGAATTTTTCAGCTCTTTTATAATCTTATGGGACCACCGTCATTGATTGTCTTCCCATCCACTGGCTAAAGACTTTAACAGGATTCCTAATACTTTCCTTTCTTCCCCCTGACTTACTGGAGCACACAACTCTTAATAATATTAGGATAGCTGATTGGCTTCTGCAAATCTCAAGGCTATATCTACATCTGAATCTATTCATAGCATATTGCTACTGGTAGTTTGTTCAAATGCGAGGAATTGGAATGCGTCGTGCACAATTGGTGTATCACAGAACTATATTTTATCCTCTTTGTAACATGCCTTATTTCCAGCATGTCACGATCCTAACTTTTTTAGTTCTTAATCTTATAGGACAACAAAGACAGCAAAAAAATAAAACCATTTGGGTGGTCTTTCAAGCACTGACCTCAGAGCTGGTCCCAGAAGTTGGGTGTCCACATCATGAAAAAATAAACACATGCCATCATCGTTGACACTAATTATGTACTTCACTTGCGTCTCCTCAGAAGAAAAGCCAAGAATAAAATTGCTGTAAAGAACAGTCTCTTTCTCATCACTTGGGGTGGCCTCTTTAGGTCAGGGTTAAAGTCCAGTTCCAGTGTGGTGTGAGATAGTGCACATGGCCAATGCTTGTGTTGTTCCTAAAGTGTGCAGAAGGAAGAGGAGAGAATCTCCTGGGACATTTATCCTCCATGACTCATCCACAAATCTTTTTGAAAAAGTTAAGAGAAAGTGAAATATGCTAAAAATATGGAAAAGGAGGCTCAGTGACATTATTCAGAATTTTCTTCCATATACAAAATTACCTATAAGATGCCATCATTTAACATAATATTACATACAACCAGATTTTTAAATTATTGACTCTTTTTTTTGAGACAGGGCCTCACTCTGTTGTCCAGGCTGGAGTGCAGTTATGTGATCTTGGCTCACTACAGCCTCAACCGCCCAGGCTCAAGTGATCCTCCCACCTCAGCCTCCCAAGTAGCTGGGACTACAGACACATGCCACCATGCCCAGGTAAGTTTTGTATTTTTGGTAGAGACTGGGTTTCACCATGTTTCCCAGACTGGCCTCGAACTCCTGAGCTCAAGTGATCCACCTGCCTTGTCCTCCCAAAGTGCTAGGATTATAGGCGTGAGACACTATGTCTGACAAATTATTGACTTTTTAAACACTACACTTAGACTACCAAAAATGTGGTATTGATCAGTCATAAGCAGGCCAACCAAATTGGCCTGCTAACTATAAATCTAACTTGCAGTTAGCAGGACAATTTAGCTCCCATATATTCTGCTATATTGGATTTATTAGTAACAAAATTAATATTTAGACTTCCATATCCTGCGCCAGCTGCATGGGTTTATAATCTAACTAATCACACAGGGTTCCATACTTTAAAAATCCCTTGAATTGGCATAAGGCTTTGCTGTCATTATCTTGAAATTCTTAATGGCCATTAAACAAGGGGGCTCACATTTTCATTTTCACATTGGGATCTACAAATTATCACAGCATTCCTGCCATGGATACCATTCATTAGCTTTTATTTCTCACCTTGTTCTATTTACATGGGGGCAGAGAGATGCTATTTATTGAGTAGCTCTTCAAAATCCCAGTTTATTAAATCATAGGAAGAGTAACAGTATTTAATGATAAAAGGCACGATTTGTGGAATTTATGTCATGTATGTCATAAACCTGGTTATAGCATGCAATATGGAAACTAAATACATTGAATTGAGCTGTCAGCAAAACAAGGAAAATGTAGTAAAAATAACATGATAGTTAAAGGCTTTAACAGATTTCTTTTAGAATAGGATGGTTTTGATAGCCAGAAACATTAAGCAAAAACGTAGAGGAACTGAGTTTCCTTCCAGCAGAAATTTACATTTTTCTATATTGTCTGTGGAAAATAATCAGTTGTGTGCTTAATCACAAAGAAAATATTAAAAGCTAAAAAAGAGGGTTTTTATAGCTTACATTTGAGTAGCAAAATCCAATAAAATTAGAAGCAAATAATGAACGAGGCTCTCACCAAAATCTTAACTATGTGAATATAAAGAAACATGCTACTAGAGAATTCTTGAATCAAAGAGGAACTCAAACTGGAAATTATATCAAGAGAGCAATAAATAGGAGCACCCTAATTTTGAAAAACAGTGGGAGTCAGAAGAAAATTTTTAGCCGTGACTTCATTTTTAAGGAAGAAAGACCAAACAAAAAAGGCTTTACAAAAACTACATTTTTTCCATGCTTTGGCTTTATACCTATAAAATCTAGAAACTGTAGAGAAAAATCAAAATAAATAATAAAAGTATTCCTAAATTAATACCTTTTTTCTGTCTAGTAATAAACAATCAAAAATTGATATGGAAAAGTATTTCATTCCCAATAGTGATAAAAACCTATTTTAGAAAACATAGAAGTAAATATAACAATATAGACACAGGATTATATGAGTAAAATTATAAAAACATATTAAAGTACATTAAAAATATATAAACAAATGGAAATAAATAACATTCTTGGACATAAAGACTACATTTAATAGAAATAAATTATCTCAATATTGATACATAGACTTTATGCAACCTCAGTTAGAATCCAAGTTGTTTTGTAGGTTACTGGTGGTGGCAGGTGCAGTTAAAATCATCTTCAATTTCTAAAAAAGAATAACTATTTGAAGATGTTCAAGAAAAGTTTCTAAAAGAACATATTGGGAAAGTATTGGTCTTACCAGACAACAAGATGTAGTATAAAACTATAATAATCAGCTTGGTAGAATAAAATAAATATGCCATATCTAGACACCAGTGCACATTAAAAAAATTTAATGTATGCCAATGATAGTCATTTAATTTTTTAGGAGACATAGGATTTTAATAAATGGCTCTGGTACAAGTAACCATACTGTATTAGTTTATTTGTATAATGCTATGAAAAAACACCCAAGACTGGGTAATATAAAGAAAAGGAGGTTTAATGGGCTTACAGTTCCACACAGCTAGGGAGACCTCACAATCATGGTGGAAGGTAAAGGAGGAGCAAAGGCACATTTTACATGGCAGCAGGCAAGAGAGAAGAAGGAGTGCCTAGCAAAGGGGGAAGCCCCTTATAAAACCATTAGATCTCATGAGAATTTACTGTCATGAGAACACGATGGGGGAAACTGCCCCCAAGACTCAATTGTCTTCACCTAGTCCCTCCCATGACACATGGGGATTAATGGGAACTATAATTTAAGATGAGATTTGGGTGGGGATACAGCCAAAACATATTATACCATCCCTGACCCCTCCCAAATTTTATGTTTTTACAATTTAAAACACAACTATGCCCTTCCAAAAGTCCCCCAAAATCTTAACTTATTCTGGCATTAACTTACAAGTTCAAGTTTAAAGTCTTATTTGGGACAAGCAAGGCCCTTTTGCCTATGACCCTAGAAAATTAAAAACAAGTTAGTTACTTTCCAGATACAATGGGGTACAAGCATTGGGTAAATACACCCATTCCAAATGGGAGAAATTGGCCAAAACAAAGGGAGTACAGGCCCCATGCAAGTCCAAAATCCAATATGGCAGTTATTAAACTTTAAAGTTTTAAAATCATTTTCTTTGACTTTATGTCTTACATTCAGATTACACTGATGCAAGAGGTGGGCTTCCACAGCCTTTGGAAGCTCCACCCCTGTGGCTTTGCAGGGTACAGCCCCCCTCCTGGCTGCTTTCATAGGCTGCTTTGAGTGTTTATGGCTTTTTCAGGTGCACAGTGCAAATTGTTGATGGATTTACCATTTTGGGGTCTGGAGCACAGTGGCACTTTTCTCACAGTTCCACTAGGCAATGCCCCAGTGGGGACACTGTGTGGTAGTTCCAACTCCATTTCCCTTCTGCACTGCCCTAGCAGAGGTTCTACATGAAGGCTCTGCTCCTGCAGCAAACTTCTGCCTGGACATCCAGGCATTTCTGCACATTACCTGAAATGTAGTCAGAGGTTTTCAAATTTTAATTCTTTACTTCTGTGCACCTGCAGGCCCAACACCACATGTAAGCCACCAAGGCTTGGGGCTCACATCCTTTGGAGCAATTGCCTGAGCTTTATGTTGGCCTCTTTTAGCCATGGCTGGGACGTGGGGCACCATGCCCCAGGACTGCACAAAGCAGCCAGGCCCTGGGGCCAGTACACAAAACTATTTTTCCCCCTAAGCATTTTGGCCTGTGATGGGAGGGGCTGCCATGCAGACCTTTGACATGCCCTGGAGACATTTTATCCATAGTTTTTGTGGTTAACATTTGGCTTCTTGTGACTTATGCAAATTTCTGCAGCCAGCTTGAATTTCTCCTTAGAAATTTTTTTTTCTATTGCATTGTTAGGCTGCAAATTTTCTGAAATTTTATGCTTTGCTTTCCTTTAAACATAAGTTCCAATTCCAAACCATATCTTTGTGAATGAATAAAAAATGAATGCTTTTAAGAGCACCCAAGTCACAGCTTGAATGGTTTGCTGCTTAGAAATTTTTTCTGCCAGATACCCTAAATTATCTCTTTTTTTTTAATTATACTTTAAGTTCTAGGGTACATGTGCACAATGTGCAGGTTTGTTACATATGTATACATGTGCCATGTTGGTGTGCTGCACCCATTAACTCGTCATTTACATTAGGTATATCTCCTAATGCTATCCCTCCCCCTCCCCCTCCCCCCACCCCACAACAGGTCCCAGTGTGTGATGTTTCCCTTCCTGTGTCCAAGTGTTCTCAGTGTTCAATTCCCACCTATGAGTGAGAACAGACAGTGTTTGGTTTTCTATCCTTGCGATAGTTTGCTCAGAATGATGGTTTCTAGCTTCATCCATGTCCCTGCAAAGGATATGAACTCATCCTTTTTTATGGCTGTATAGTATTCCATGGTGTATATGTGCCACATTTTCTTAATCCAGTCTATCATTGATGGACATTTGGATTGGTTCCAAGTCTTTGCTATTGTGAATAGTGCCACAATAAACATATGTGTGCATGTGTCTTTATAGCAGCATGATTTATAATCCTTTGGGTATATACCCAGTATGGGATGGCTGGGTCAAATGATATTTCTAGTTCTAGGTCCCTGAGGAATCGCCACACCGACTTCCACAATGGTTGAACTAGTTTACAGTCCCACCAACAGTGTAAAAGTGTTCCTAATTCTCCACATCCTCTCCAGCACCTGTTATTTCTTGACTTTTTAATGATCACTGTTCTAACTGGTGTGAGATGGTATCTCATTGTGGTTTTGATTTGCATTTCTCTGATGGCCAGTGACGATGAGCATTTTTTCATGTGTTTTTTGGCTGCATAAATGTCTTCTTTTGAGAAGTGTCTGTTCATATCCTTCACCCACTTTTTGATGGAGTTGTTTGTTTTTTTCTTGTAAATTTGTTTGTGTTCATTGTAGATTCTGGATATTAGCCCTTTGTCAGATGAGTAGGTTGCAAAAATTTTCTCCCATTCTGTAGGTTGCCTGTTCACTCTGATGGTGTTTTCTTTTGCTGTGCAGAAGCTCTTTAGCTTAATTAGATCCCATTTGTCAATTTTGGCTTTTGTTGCCATTGTTTTTGGTGTTTTAAACATGAAGTCCTTGCCCATGCCTATGTCCTGAATGGTAATGCCTAGGATTTCTTCTAGGGTTTTTATGGTTTTAGGTCTAACATGTAAGTCTTTAATCCATCTTGAATTAATTTTTGTGTAAGGTGTAAGGAAGGGATCCAGTTTCAGCTTTCTACATATGGCTAGCCAGTTTTCCCAGCACCATTTATTAAATAGGGAATCCTTTCCTCATTTCTTGTTTTTGTCAGGTTTGTCAAAGATCAGATGGTTGTAGATGTGTGGTGTTATTTCTGAGGACTCTGTTCTGTTCCATTGGTCTATATCTCTGTTTTGGTACCAGTACCATGCTGTTTTGGTTACTGTAGCCTTGTAGTATAGTTTGAAGTCAGGTAGTGTGATGGCTTCAGCTTTGTTCTTTTGGCTTAGGATCGACTTGGCAATGCAGGCTCTTTTTTGGTTCCATATGAACTTTGAAGTAGTTTTTTCCAATTCTGTGAAGAAAGTCATTGGTAGCTTGATGGGGATGGCATTGAATCTATAAATTACCTTGGGCGGTATGGCCATTTTCACGATATTGATTCTTTCTATCCATGAGCATGGAATGTTCTTCCATTTGTTTGTATCCTCTTTTATTTCGTTGAGCAGTGGCTTGTAGTTCTCCTTGAAGAGGTCCTTCACATCCCTTGTAAGTTGGATTCCTAGGTATTTTATTCTCTTTGAAGCAATTGCGAATGGGAGTTCACTCATGATTTGGCTGTTTGTCTGTTATTGGTGTATAAGAATGCTTGTGATTTTTGCACATTGATTTTGTATCTTGAGACTTTGCTGAAGTTGCTTATCCACTTAAGGAGATTTTGGGCTGAGATGATGGGGTTTTCTAAATATACAATCATGTCATCTGCAAACAGGGACAATTTGACTTCCTCTTTTCCTAATTGAATACCCTTTATTTCATTCTCCTGCCTGATTGCCCTGGCCAGAACTTCCAACAGTATGTTGAATAGGAGTGGTGAGAGAGGGCATCCATGTCTTGTGCCAGTTTTCAAAGGGAATTCTTCCAGTTTTGCCCATTCAGTATCACGTCTTACATGGCAATAGGCAAGAGAGAAGAATGAGTGCCCAGCAAAGGGGAAAGCCCCTTGTAAAACCGTCACATCTTGTGAGAACTTACTATCATGAGAACAGAATAGGGGAAACCACCCCCATGATTTAATTATCTCCACCTGGTTCCTCCCTTCCCATGACACATGGGGATTATGGGAACTACAATTTAAGATGAGATTTGAGTGTGGACACAGCCAAACCATTTCATACTTTTTGAAAAAAATACAACCGGATACTTATTTTTCCAATATAAAATTTAAAAATTAACATGAATTAAATAATTAAATGGGAAAATGAATAATACAAATCTTGTAAGAAGGCCTAGGAGACCTAACAACAGTCTATAGATGATGAAGTGCTTATATACTTGGAGCTAAAACAGAACAAAAACCAATATATTTTTAATAAAAATGAAGTAACAATGGATTTAAAGAAGATAATTACAACATATATTAAGACAAAGTGGTAGCTATACTAAAAATGGAGAAGTAAAAGACAGAAAAGTCAGCAAGAAATATGTATGGGAAACCTAGGTATCTCATAAATATGAAAAGATGGTCGAATTTACTGGTAGTGAAATACAGATTAAAGTAACAATGAATATTATTGCACACTTACCAAGCTGGCAAAGGTGTAATAAATAGCGCTCTCTCCAAAGTGGAAATTGTTGCCACTGCTTTTCTAAAAGCAGCTTAGAAATACGTGTTGAAATTTTAAAATTAATGCATATGCTTTGATTTAATACCCCTTCAGGGAATCTATCCTATGTAAATCAAGCTTGTGGTATACAATGACATGTTATAAGAAAGTCTATTGTACTCTTATTAATAGTGGGAAAAGAATAAATAAATAGATGAAAGCATAACAAATGACCATCAATTGGAGAATTATGGTATAAATTATGCCACAGTCATGCTATATGATATTTATTAAGAAGAAGAAATCAGAGCTAAATAGTTGAAGTGATATTCATGACATCTATATTGTTGTGTAAAATATATAAGATGGGTGGTTATACAGGTATTCACATATAATAATTTTTATAAAAGAAAAGAAAAAATATATGCATCTTATAGTCAATAAATGTCTGTATGTGATTCTATGAACATATAGAAATGAAGAAGTGGAAGGATACATACTAAGTTGTTATGAATGAGAGAATATATGTGGGGTGGAGGAGGCAGGTTATGAGTGTGAGGAGAAGGAAAAGGGAGAACCAAAAATGCAAAGAAAGGTTGTACTTGAAATAATAATCTGCTTATGATTATGGCCTCTAGCTGCATCCACATTGTTGCAAAGGACAGTTCTTTTTTATGGCTGGGTAGTATTCTATGGTGTGTATGAACCATATCGTCTTTATCCAATCACCATTCCTGGGAAGGCAGGTTGATTCTATGTATTTGCTATTGTGAATAGCACAGCAAAGAACATACGAGTGCATGTGTCTTTTTGGTATAAGGATCCATTTCCTTTGGGTATATACCCAGTAATGGGCTACTGGGTCAAATGGTAGTTCTGGTTTAAGTTCTCTGAGAAATCTCCAAACTTCTTTCCATAGTGGCTGAACTAATTTACGTTCCCACCAAGAGTGTATAAGCATTGCCTTTCTCTTCAGCCTTGCCAGCATCTGTTTTAATATCTCATGTCATCATTTATAAATGGGAACTAACCATTGAGCACAATGGATGTAAACACGGGAACAATAAACACTGCAGACTACCAGAAGGGGAGAGGGAGAGAAAGGGGAATGGGTTGCAAAAGTGCCTATTGGGTACTATGCTTACTACGTGGTTGCAATATACCCATATAACAAACCTGCACATGTACCCCCTGTGCCTAAAATAAAAGCTGAAATTAAAAAAATCAAATCTGCATTATGCATTAATGTAAAAGTATTTTTATATATATATACAAATAAAAGTTAAAGTTTAAAAAATAGAAAACAAGAACGTACTGCTTAATGCAGATCTCCCAAGAGAACTTCCGATTGAAGGCAGAACATGGCGTAAGTCCACCTGGGATCCCAGCTACTGGGCCCACCCTCAGGCTTGTTCCTGTCTCATTCCCTTTTTCTAACTATTTTAGTTTCAACATAACCTGGTTTGAATTTCCACAGATGGGTAGGAGACAGAAGAACCTCCAGGAAGTTGGAAATGGTATGAATACAAAAAGACATAAAGTGCTTCATGATTTTGGAGTTTCCTTTTGGGATGATGAAATGTTTTAGAACTACATAGACGTGATGATTGCACAACATTGTGAATGTACTAAATGCCAATGAGTTGCACACTTTTCAAAAGTTAATTTATGTTAAGTAAATTTTATCTTAATTTTTAAAAGGCATGAGGAATGTTACAGACATATATATATTCTGGGGTGCCATTTTCTGAACGTAGTTCAAGAGTCACAGCCACTTGGAGGCTTATGCCAAGCATATGGACACAGATGTGAGGTCATCTGTTTTAATTGTATCCTTATTTACCTTTGAAATACAGTTCTTCCATCTCCCAAAGAAGATGCTATCCAAAGATTGCTCACATTCATTGACATGAACTGAGGGCCAGTGACTAAAATGGACCCATTTGTGATTCTGGACTAATATTTCCCACAATTTCATCCATATCATTCAAAACTATACCATCTGGGAAAATAAGACTATATATTCTCAACTATAAATCTTGGGAGACCCTACGTGCCAGGAACTAGGAATCATGCAACCGGGATGTATCAACCTTCAGAAGCAACATACCCCCTCTGGGTCTCAGTCTCAAATAGTACTTGGTCACCTGAATAAATGTTTAGCCTATTAGAGTAAAAAATGTACAGACTACTAGATTAACTAATTAACCTTGTCTGATGCAATTTGCAGTCAGATATCTGTGCTGGCCCTCCCTCCTGGCCATTTTCTTCTTAGCAAAAACAGCACAGGGTCCATGCATTAAGGTCCTGGCTTTGGTCTCTATTTTATCTCATCACCAAATTCAGGGGCACAGACATCATCAACTGACTCCTCCACCCGAGACCCAGTCTCTTCCTCTCTCTGCCTGTGTGCACAGGACTGGCACCATGGGAAGCTCTCTGGAACTTAGGTCTTCTAGTTCAAGATTTGTGTGCCGGCACTCCTGGTGCTCAGATATCCCATGGAGTATCCTTTGGGAATAAGTACAAAGTTCAGAGGTGTGTGTGTGTGTGTCCAGTGTGTGACAAAGAGTTCATACTCATGAACACTGATGCTTTACCAAAATGACTAGGATTCTAATACACTAAAGAATAAACTCCCCATAGCACCTGTAGAAATTTATGCTCAGAATTATCATCTTCCATCTATATAGACTCCTTAGCTATCTTATTTCAGACTAGAACCCACATTTTTATTTACAAACTCTTTTCTACCCACTGAAATTCAATGCCATTAGCTGACCATTCTTAAACCAATAACCAGAGATAAATGATTGCCTCCCAGAATAGTATCTTCAGCACTACTCACCTACTAGCCAACTGGATAGTCTTCCTTCCCACCACTGAATTAACATAAAATTAATCCATCTACTCCTACACAAGCACTACAGTTGCCATCAAGATACTTCCTGGTTCCCAATTTCTACCCGTTATCTCCAACACAGATGATTTTCCTGGGAAATTCCTTGTTACACATCAATTTACTACAGTAACACTTTCAGCAAGACAAAGTACCTTGTGCATGTTAATTACAAGGGGAAAGCTAGTGCAAATGGAAAATTAAATACATTTTATTGATCTCTTCATTCCAGTCCCTGGATTTTCCTCTTTTCCCCACTGTTTTTGTCCCTTTGAACTCCCTAATACAATTTTGATTATATTAGTTGAAACGCTTTCTTGCCATACCTTGTACGCCTTTGCTTCTGTTTGCTTTCACCACATTCAGTCTACATCCTGCCAATTCTACAACCATTTATACCATCTGGCTTCTTCATCCCTACATCTGGGTTTCTGGGTGCTTCTGGAAAAAGTAACACAAAAGCACAGTTTTATGTCATTACTACTAATAAGAGTTTATCTCTGGCTCATTTCCAGTGTTGGAATTGAAGGTGAGATCTTGGCCGAAAAGGTGCATCTAAACTGAGGTTAAGGAAGAGCAGAAATCAAGACCCCTATGAAGGAAGGTAGTTTGTAGAGAAGAGACTAGGACAGGAAAGAGCAGAGAGATCACATGGAAAGAGAGACAGAGAGGCTGCCTCTGACATTCCAGTTTCATTATATTGCTCTAGTTGAGTTCCCATTTCTTGAGATATCTTGAGAGGATTTTTGTTCCCTGAAAACAAATGATTCCTCACTAAATACGGCCTACCCTTCCAGATAGCTTGGTTTCCACACTTGCCAGTCTGGCCATGCCCAAATTCACCCTGCTGGAAAATACAGTCTCCATTGGCTAACATTTTCTCAACTAACTCATGCGTTTGCATTGTGATATAACTTTTGAATTTTGTATTTAAATGTGTAAATGTTTTAAATGTGTGAGTATTTCCTCCTTGGATTGCAAGTTTCAGATTGTATTCTTCATTTCTTTTTATAACCTTGGATCCCATAACTTTATGATCATGTGTAGATGATCTCTAGATACTTGTTGAATGAACAAACAAGTAAGTAAATATCTCATTCTTCAGTAGTCTCTGGAAAGATGATAATAGCAAGAAGCTCTGGAGTCTTTGAGCACTCAGAAAGAGCCAGCAATAAGAGATGGGGAAGCCCTAATAGCAGAAATACTGAATACTGGTGGTGTGTCCTCTTCAAGGAGGACTAGGAGAATGGGCCAACAGAGTGAGCCACTCCCGAGGCCCAAACACAAGGCAGACAGGACTGGTGTTCCCGCACTCCAGGTGTCCCCCTTCTGACCTCTCGTTGACATTCAGAGGGTACCGAAATAGAATTTAGCAGAAACGTCTAATTATATTTACATTTTAAAGATGGGGGAAGTATATTAGCAGAGTCAAACATTGTTTTACCAGTAACCTTAATAGCTGCCATCTAAAAGGCATCACATTCATTTATTCTGTTTTTGTTTGCTTTGCTTATTTCTGGAACTGTGGTTTCTCTTTAGAATAGATTCAGGTGGAAACATGTGAATACTTCTGAGTTATTAAAACAACCACCACAGTCTTCACATTCAAATGTGGCAAATATAGAAGGTGACTTCTATTTCTCCAACCTGTGAAAATAGTATCTGGGGGAGAAAAGAAGAGGAAAGAAGCCTCTACGCACTTGCGAGAATGCCTAAAAGTGGTCCAACCCTTTGCTCTTAAAAGTATTGGCATCTAAAGAGAAACTTTCACGGAGCCACACCTTCATCTGGCTAAATATATGGTTTTAAGACACTAAGCTACTCATTTACAGGTTTCTGCTTAAAATTTCAACCACATGTTAAGCACAAAACGGTGGTTCCTGAGTTAACAAGTTGCCACCAAAGAAAATATTGCTCCGTGGGGTGTTCCTCTTGAGATGCTTAGAAACATCAGGTTGTAGTGATTCCCCCCACCCACAAAGAGACCCTTTGGATTTGAAAGGCATTGGTTTGCTAATGATCGGTTTCAGGCTGCAGTGTTCCACAAACTGTTTTGTTCTTTTTCTATGGTCTGTGAATGATACTCCTCAAGGAATGGTAGCTGATACGTTTTTCATTTTCCTCCCTAATTTTCTCACTATAATATTTAATTAGCCAAAAGGCAGCATATTTATAGAAATAATAAAACAGAGCAGAAAGTGTTTTAATTATATGAATAATGTGGTATATTTAGAAATATATACATATATATTTAAAGAATACTTTGTACAGTTATTTTTCCCTAGGATATGATTAAAGTAAGCTTAAGCATATGTGTAAGATGAACAGAGTCTAGAGATCTAATATAAAACACGAGGACTAAGAGTAATAAAATTGTACTGTATTTGCAATTCATGCTTTAAAAAAGAAAGTGAACTGACATATAAACAACCAATTCTTTGAGATGTCCCAAGATAAAAGAAATACACGTATGCAAAAATTTGAAAGTAACGTTTAATGTTGCATTTAAGTAATTTAATATCCAAGAAGCAAAATATATTGAGGATCTACAATAGCAAATACTCTATATGCACTAACTTATTTCTCCTAAAGACCTTAAAATAGGTATCATCATCCCCATTTTACGAATGCAGAAAGTAAGGCTCAGAGAAGCAAAAATGAGTATTAATTCTAATGAAAAATGTGCAAATAGGTCAACGGGTTTCTAATTTTGCCATTTCCTTTTTCAGCATGACTTAAAGGTGACAATGCAGTGAAAATCAGTGATGCAACATTTTGAATGACAAGACTAATGCTGTCTAGTCCATTTTGGTTTCCAAATTCCTTAATAAAATTCCAAACCAGAAGCCAATGAAGGCTTCGCTCCAGGAGAACAAAGGAAATGGTAATATACTCCAAAAAGCTATAGAACTATAAAAATTAACTATGACAAATAATGTGTGAGAAAAATGTTTTATAGAGCCATTCTGTAAATTGTGTTGTAGATAACAAAATTAAATATAAAAGTTAATTTAATTTAAATTGAGCATAGTATTGTGTTTTACTGTGATTAATAAAAGTTTCCAATTAACAAGTGCTATCAGTAAGAATTAGCCACCTAAATAAATAAAATGTAAATTCTTAGGGCCCAAGTTATTTCTCTTGGTTACACCTAGTATGTTTTATACACTTCCCATGCTGTCAAAAGTTAAAACAAGAAGTGAGATCTTCATTCTCACACAAATTTGCAGCAGATATATTTTGCAAGCTCAAGCTACAGTTCTGGCAATGTTTTTCAGACCTCAATGCAAGTATAAAGGAAATTTGCATATTTCAAAATTCATTTAACACACAAGGAATTTCGTTTAACTAAAGCAATTAAGGAGCTTCAATCTAACTTTCAATTGGAAGTGTTTAATCTGCAATGCAATGAAATAATAAAAAAGACAAATATCAAGAAAAGAATCTAATGGAATTCCACAAATGCTTTCCAAATGATTAATGTGCTCAGTTAAAATTACCTGCTCATGGACTAATATCAATATTTGACAGAACCTATCAGTGTAAAAAGACATTTTCAAAGATGAAATACATAAAATCTAATTTCGTTAACAGATGTACATTTGCAATCAATTTTGGTGATAGAGAACACTAACTTTGAACATATTACAACCTCTAAAGGAAAGAAGTATATTCTTCATTTCAGAAAGTAAACAACAAAGGCATTGACATTGATTTGGAGATTAAGAGATAATTTCTTGTTCTCAATAACATTGATCATGAGATAAATGCAAATCAAAACTACAATGAGATATCATCTCACCTCAGTTAAAATGGCCTTTATCCAAAAGACATGCAATAACAAATGCTGACCAGAAAAGGGAACACTTGTATTCTGTTGGGGAGAATGTAAATTAGTACAGCCATTATGGAGAACACTATGGAGATTCCTCAAAAAACTAAAAATAGAACTACCATATGATCTAGCAACCCTACTGCTAGATATATACTCCAAAGAAAGAAAACCAGAATATTGAAGAGATATATGTACTCTCATGTTAATTGCAGCATTATTCACAATAGCCAAGATTTGGAAGCAACCTCAGTGTCCATTGAAAGACAAATGGAAAGAAAATGTGGTACATATACACAATGGTGTACTATTCAGCCATAAAAAAAGAATGAGATACTGTCATTTGCAACAACGTGGATGGAACTTAATATAGTGGAGGACATTATATTAAGTAAATAAAATAACCAAGACACAGAAAGACAGACTTCACATGTTTTCACTCATTTGTGGAAGCTAAAAATTAAAATCATCCACTCATGGAGATAAAGAGTAAAATGATGATTACAAGAGGCTGGGAAGGGTAGTGGGGACTTGCGGGTAAAGTGGGGATGGTTAATGAGTACAAAAATATAGGTAGAATGAATACGATTTAGTATTTGATAGCACAACAGGGTGATTACAGTCAATAATAATTTATTGTACATTTTAAAATAATTCAGGACATAGGCATGGGCAAAGACTTCATGTCTAAAACACCAAAAGCAATGGTAACAAAAGCCAAAATTGACAAATGGGATCTAATTAAACTAAAGAGCTTCTGCACAGCAAAAAAACTATCAGCAGAGTGAACAGGCAACCTACAGAATGGGAGAAAATGTTTGCAATCTATCCATCTGACAAAGGGCTAATACCCAGAATCTACAAATAACTTAAACACATTTACAAGAAAAAAACAAAAAAACTGATCAAAAAGTGGGCAAAGGATATGAACAGACACTTCTCAAAAGAAGACAGTTATGCAGCCAACAGACATATGAAAAAATGCTCATCATCACTGGTCATTAGAGAAATGCAAATCAAAACCACAATGAGATACCATCTCACACCAGTTAGAATGGCAATCATTAAAAAGTCAGGAAACAAGAGATGCTGGAGAGGGTGTGGAGAAATAAGAACGCTTTTACACTGTTGGTGGGAGTGTAAATTAGTTCAACCATTGTGGAAGTCGGTGTGGCGATTCCTCAGGGACCTAGAACTAGAAATACCATTTGACCCAGCAATCCCATTACTGGGCACATACCCAAAGGATTATAAATCATTCTACTATAAAGATACATGCACACATATGTTTATTGTGGCACTATTCACAATAGCAAAGACATGGAACCAACCCAAATGCCCATCAGTGATACACTGAATAAAGAAAATGTGGCACATACACACCATGGAATACTATGCAGCCATAAAAAAGAATGAGTTCATGTCCTTTGCAGGGACATGGATGAAGCTGGAAACCATCCTTCTCAGCAAACTATCACAAGAACAGAAAACCAAACACTGCATGTTCTCACTCATAAGTGGGAGTTGAACAATGAGAACACATGGACACAGGAAGGGGAACATCACACACTGGGGCCTATCAGGTGGTGAGGGACTAGGGGAGGGGTAGCATTAGGAGAAATACCTAATGTAGGTGACGGGTTGATGGGTGCAGCAAACCACCATGGCCTGCGTATACCTATATAACAAACCTGCATGTTCTGCACATGTACCCCAGAACTTAAAGTATAATTTTAAAAAAAGAGTACAATAGAAATGTTTGTAACACAAAGAAACGATAAATGCTTGAGGTGATGGATAGCCCATTTACCCTTATGTGATTATTACACATTGTATGCCTGTATCAAAATATCTCATGTACTCTGTAGATATATACACCTACTATGTACCCACAAAAATTAAGATAGAAAAAAAATTTTTTAAGGTAATTTCTTATCCAGTCTGAAATCTTTGTTCTTGTTTGTTCTATAATTGAAGTGATTAGTCTATTAATAAATAATATAACTACTAATACATCGGGTTTATAACTACCATTTTCCTGTTTTCTATTTGCCCCTCTTGTTCTGTTTTCCTAATTTTTTTCTTGCCCTCGCTTAAATCCATCATGTATTTTTTATCATTCCATTTTTATCATTCCATGTGCTAGTTACACATATCTAATATCTTCTAAGTGGTCACACAATGTGACTCCTTGACTTATTAAAATGTGAAATTTTTGCTCCTTACCATACAATATTAAGACCTTAGAATACTTTAATTCATTTATTTCTTGTTTATCTTTTGTAATGTGTACTTTATTCTATACATATTTTGGACTCTACAAGACATTATTAATATTATTGTTATTACAATGTATAGTCAATATTAGACTTATTATATTTTATACTTTCTATTGCTCTTCATTGCTTCCTATATTTTCATGTTTCCATCTCGGCTCTTTATCCTTTTTCTTTTTTTAACTTTTATTGTAAGTTTAGTAGTATAAGTGCAGGTTGGTTACATAGATAAAGTTGGGTCATGGGGGTTTGTTGTGCAGATTATTTAATCACCCACTACCCATTAGTTACTTTTCCTGAACCTCCCCGTCCTCTCATCCTCCACCCTCCAATAGGCCCCAGTGCATGTTGTCCCTTTTCTGTGTCCATGCGTTCTCATCATTTAGCTCCCACTTATAAGTGAGAACATGCAGTATTTGGTTTTCCATTCCTGTGTTAGTTTGCCAAAAACCTTATCCCTCTTCTTAAAGAACTTCCATTTTTTTAGTGCAGGCCCGATGGTGACAAATTCTCTCACTTTTTGTGTGTCTGGAATGTCTTTATTTCATCTTCACTTTTGAAGAATACTCCCTCTCAACAGAATTTGAAGTTAGCAGTTATTTTCTTTTAGTACTTTAAAGATAGATGCCATTTATTATTTCTGTAGTTGTTTCTATCATCACTGTTGAGAAATCATTGTCAGCCTTATTGCTGCTCCTAATTTATCTTTTATCCTCTGAGTTTAGGATTATATCTTTGTCTTTGGCTTTCATGGTTTTACTATGATACATCTTGGTGAGGTTTTCTTTATATTTAATATAGCTTGGAATTTGCATATTATTTGAATATGTGGCTTTATGTCTTTTGTCAGTTTGGGAATTTTATCAGCCATTTTTTCTTCAACTATTGTTTCTGCTTTATTCTCCCTCTTCCTTTCCTTTCAGGACTTCAGCTACACACATGTAAGAAATTTCTATCAGTCTCCTATATACTTTTGTTCTTTCCTGCAGCCTATCGCTTTTTTTCATGGTATTTGAATCTAGTTACTTACTACAAATCTACATTCCTTTTCATGAATACTCTCTTCAACTGCAACCATTCTATTGTTAAACCCATCTACTGAGATCTTAATTTTAGCTATTGTGTTTTTGGTTCTTGAGTTTTCATTTTATTCTTTTCTATATCTATTTGTCCTCTGATATAAAATTTTTTATATTTTCTTGAATATGTTAATAATAGTTGGTTTAAATCCATTCATTATGACTGCAATATCTGGGCCACTTATGAGTCTAGACCCATTCTCTAATCTTTCCCTTGGTCTTCCTTCTTGGGATGACTGGTACATTTGTTTAATTATTAGACATTGTTTGGGAAAAAATGTGGATGCTATAAATGCTATAGAGTAGGAGGCAAATGAGGTAGTCAAATTGCTTAAGGAAAGAAGATTTATTCTGGATGTAGAAATTATAATGCACTTCATTCCTAGGCTAAACTGCCATTTTTGAGAGGTCTTTAGTGTTTGACTTCAAAATCCGAAATAATATAAAATTCTGCTCTGCTCTTCTTTTCTGTCAGTGCACACATCAGCGCGTCTCCAGACAGATTCACATTCTCTTTAGAGAAGAACATTCAGGTGGGTAATGGGCTCTGCAAGGTGAACACCCAGATCCTTCCTTCGGGACTGAGGCACTCATTTGCTCAGCTGTCGGGAGTGTTGCTTTCTGAGAGCTCATAGCTGAGTTCCTCTGCAGGAATTGCTGAAGGAAATGGCCTCACCCAAAATTACACTCACTACCAGGAGCAGCCCACATCCCAAGAGTGGTCAACCATTAGTACAAAGACTTCAACCCCTTGCCTTAATTCAGGGCAAGTCTCAAGGGACATTACTGCTTTGGAGCTCCCTGTGGAATCGGCTGAGGCCTGTGTTGCAACTGATTGACAGCTCACCTTCTCCATCTGCCCTCCTACTTCCCTCCTTCACTTCCTCCTGCTTCCCTCCTCCTCTTACAGGTATTATATTACTCCTGAAAGCATTCTCCCATCTACATCCTATGTGGACATGTCCAACTGGGGAGGGGTGGGAGCATCCAGGTGGGGACATCAGCACTTTTTTTTTTCTTTTTTTGAGATGGAGTCTTACTCTGTCACCTAGGCTGGAGTGCAGTGGCTCGATCTCGACTCAGTGCAATATCTGCTTCCCCAGTTCAAGCGATTCTCCTGCCTCAGCCTCCCGAGTAACTGAGACTACAGGTGTGCGCCACCACACCCAGCTAATTTTTGTATTTTTAGTAGAGATGGGTTTCACCATGTTGGCCAAGATGGTCTCGATTTCCTGACCTTGTGATCCACCCGCCTCGGCCTCCCAAAGTGTTGGGATTACAGGTGTGAGCCACTGCACCCGGCCTCAGCATTTTTTAAGTTTATTTCCACTAATCGTCCCATGGCCCACACCTGCTCTTCACGTCTTGATTTTGAACTCAGAGTTTCTTCAGGATTTCCCAAAAGGAATGCTGCTAATACTTGTTTACTTTTTTTGTTTTCTATTCAAATAAATCCTATCTGATTTCAGTCCTCTAGGAATTCTTTAGAATTTTTGATCCACCAATGTCCCCTTTCCCCTCACATCAGACAGGTAATGTGCCAACATGGTAATAAGGTTTGAGAAAGGCACATCTTGAGTGTAAAACACAGTCATCATTCTTACAAACCACAAAAGGATCTGATGACACCTTTTTACAGTATCCTTTTTTAAAAAACTGCTTACATTTTAGTGAAATGTTACAAAGAAATAAAGAAGACAAATGTGCTCAGTCCATCAGCAGAGATCAATGTAATCAGGCTACTATCTTGAGTTAGAATCTACTTTTCCTGTGAATTTTTTCCTCCAAACTTTGAGGTTTTGTAGCAATACCAAAAGGATCTACAGAGTTTCAGACAAACGGCTTATTATATACTTGAAGGTATTTTTTTTTTACATTTCATTTGACTGATGTTTTGAATTATGTTATCTTGAAAATAAAAAATGAAAAAAATTATGGTGTTCATATACTTATTTGTACTGTTCAATACTTTTGCAATGTCAAAATAAATATAATTCAATTATTTCCACAAAAAATGGCTATTAAGTTTCATGAGAAACTACATATTTATATATACTCTCTAAATATTTATGTCTTTTTTTTTTTTTTTACACAGAAGTTAGGGCCTGCGCAAATTGTTATATAACAATTGAAGATGGCCAAATAGGAAGAGCTCCAGTCTACAGCTCCCGGCATGAGCGATGCAGAAGACGGGTGATTTCTGCATTTCCAACTGAGGTACCAGGTTCATCTCACTGGGGAGTGCTGGACAGTGGGTGCAGGACAGTGGGTGCAGCGCACCGTGTGTGAGCCGAAGCAGGGCAAGGCATTGCCTCACCTGGGAAGCACAAGGGGTCAGGGAATTCCCTTTCCTGGTCAAAGAAAGGGGTGACAGACGGCACCACCTGGAAAATTGGGTCACTCCCACCCTAATACTGTGCTTTTCTGACGAGCTTAAAAAACAGCACACCAGGAGACTATATCCCGCACCTGGCTCGGAGGGTCCTAAGCCCACGGAGCCTCGCTCATTGCTAGCACAGCAGTCTGAGATCAAACTGCAAGGTGGCAGCAAGGCTGGGGGAGGGGCGCCAGCCATTGCTCAGGCTTGAGTAGGTAAACAAAGCAGCTGGGAAACTTGAACTGGGTGGAGCCCACCACAGCTCAAGGAGGCCTGCCTGCCTCTGTAGACTCCACCTCTAGCGACAGGGCACAGACAAACAAAAGGCAGCAATAACCTCTGCAGACTTAAATGTCCCTGTCTGACAGCTTTAAAGAGAGTAGTAGTTCTCCCAGCACGCAGCTTGAGATCTGAGAACGGGCAGACTGCCTCCTCAAGTGGGTCCCTGACCCCCGAGTAGCTTAACTGGGAGGCATCCCCCAGTACGGGCGGACTGACACCTCACACGGCTGGGTACTCCTCTGAGACAAAACTTCCAGAGGAACGATCAGGCAGCAGCATTTGCAGTTCACCAATATCTGCTGTTCTGCAGCCACTGCTGCTGATACCCAGGCAAACACAGTCTGGAGTGGACCCCCAGTAAACTCCAACAGACCTGCAGCTGAGGGTCCTGACTGTTAGAAGGCAAACTAACAAACAGAAAGGACATCCACACCAAAAACCCATCTGTACGTCACCATCATCAAAGACCAAAGGTAGATAAAACCACAAAGATGGGGAAAAAACAGAGCAGAAAAACCAGAAACTCTAAAAATCAGAGCGCCTCTCCTCCTCCAAAGGAACGCAGCTCCTCATCAGCAATGGAACAAAGCTGGATGGAGAATGACATTGACGAATTGAGAGAGGAAGGCTTCAGAAGATCAAACTACTCCGAGCTAAAGGAGGAAGTTAGAACCAATGGCAAAGAAGTTAAAAACTTTGAAAAAAAATTAGATGAATGGATAACTAGAATAACCAATGCAGAGAAGTCCTTAAAGGACCTGATGGAGCTGAAAACCACGGCACGAGAACTACGTGATGAATGCACAAGCCTCAGTAACCGATGCGATCAACTGGAAGAAAGGGTATCAGCGATGGAAGAAGAAATGAATGAAATGAAGCGTGAAGAGAAGTTTAGAGAAAAAAGAATAAAAAGAAATGAACAAAGCCTCCAAGAAATATGGGACTATGTGAAAACACCAAATCTACGTCTGATTGGTGTACCTGAAAGTGACGGGGAGAATGGAACCAAGTTGGAAAACACTCTGCAGGATATTATACAGGAGAACTTCCCCAATCTAGCAAGGCAGGCCAACATTCAAATTCAGGAAATAAAGAGAATGCCACAAAGATACTCCTCGAGAAGAGCAACTCCAAGACACATAATTGTCAGATTCACCAAAGTTGAAATGAAGGAAAAAATGTTAAGGGCAGCCAGAGAGAAAGGTCGGGTTACCCACAAAGGGAAGCCCATCAGACTAACAGCTGATCTCTCAGCAGAAACTCTACAAGCCAGAAGAGAGTGAGGGCCAATATTCAACATTCTTAAAGAAAAGAATTTTCAACCCAGGATTTCATATCCAGCCAAACTAAGCTTCATAAGTGAAGGAGAAATAAAATACCTTACAGACAAGCAAATGCTGAGAGATTTTGTCACCACCAAGCCTGCCCTAAAAGAGCTCCTGAAGGAAGCAGTAAACATGGAAAGGAACAACCAGTACCAGCCACTGCAAAAACATGCCAAATTGTAAAGACCATCGAGGCTAGGAAGAAACTGCATCAACTAACAAGCAAAATAATCAGCTAACATCATAATGATAGGATCAAATTCACACATGACAATACTAACCTTAAATGTAAATGGGCTAAATGCTCCAATTAAAAGGCACAGACTGGCAATTGGATAAAGAGTCAAGACCCATCAGTGTACTGTATTCAGGAAACCCATCTCACGTGCAGAGACAAACATAGGCTCAAAATAAAGGGATGGAGGAAGATCTACCAAGCAAATGGAAAACAATAAAAAGGCAGGGTTTGCAATCCTAGTCTCGGATAAAACAGACTTTAAACCAACAAAGATCAAAAGAGACAAAGAAGGCCATTACATAATGGTAAAGGGATCAATTCAACAAGAACTAACTATCCTAAATATATATGCACCCAATACAGGAGCACCCAGATTCATAAAGCAAGTCCTTAGTGACCTACAAAGAGACTTAGACTCCCACGCAATAATAATGGGAGACTTTAACACTCCACTGTCAACATTAGACAGATCAACGAGACAGAAAGTTAACAAGGATAACCAGGAATTGAACTCAGCTCTGCACCAAGCAGACCAATAGACATCTGCAGAACTCTCCACCCCAAATTAACAGAATATACATTCTTTTCAGCACCACACCACACCTATTCCAAAATTGACGAAATAGTTGGAAATAAAGCACTCCTCAGCAAATGTAAAAGAACAGAAATTATAACAAGCTGTCTCTCAGACCACAGTGCAATCAAACTAGAACTCAGGATTAAGAAACTCACTCAAAACCACTCAACTACATGGAAACTGAACAACCTGCTCCTGAATGACTACTGGGTACATAACGAAATGAAGGCAGAAACACAGATATTCTTTGAAACCAACAAGAACAAAGACACAACATACCAGAATCTCTGGGACACATTCAAAGCAGTGTATAGAGGGAAATTTATAGCACTAAATGCCCACAAGAGAAAGCAGGAAAGACCTGAAATTGACACCCTAACATCACAATTAAAAGAACTAGAGAAGCAAGAGCAAACACATTCAAAAGCTAGCAGAACGCAAGAAATAGAACTAAGATCAGAGCAGAACTGAAGGAATTAGAGACACAAAAAACCCTTCAAAAAATCAATGAATCCAGGAGCTGGTTTTTTGAAAAGATCGATGAAATTGATAGACCGCTAGCAAGACTAATAAAGAAGAAAAGATAGAAGAATGAAATAGACGCAATAAAAAATGACAAAGGGGATATCACCACTGATTCCACAGAAATACAAACTACCATCAGAGAATACTATAAACACCTCTACGCAAATAAACTAGAAAACCTAAAAGAAATGGATAAATTCCTCGACACATACACCCTCCCAAGACTAAACCAGGAAGAAGCTGAATATCTGAATAGACCAATAACAGGTTCTGAAATTGAGGCAACAATTAATAGCTTACCAATCAAAAAAAGTCCAGGACCAGATGGATTCACAGCCGAATTCTACCAGAGGTACAAGGAGGAGCTGGTACCATTCCTTCTGAAACTATTCCAATCAATAGAAAAAGAGGGAATCCTCCCTAACTCATTTTATGAGGGCAGCATCATCCTGATACCAATGCCTGGCAGAGACACAACAAAAAAAGAGAATTTTAGACCAATATCTTTGATGAACATTGATGCAAAAATCCTCAATAAAATACTGGCAAACCGAATCCAGCAACACATCAAAAAGCTTATCCACCATGATCAAGTGGGCTTCATCCTTGGGATGCAAGGCTGGTTCAACATATGAAAATCAATAAACGTAATCCAGCATATAAACAGAACCAAAGACAAAAACCACATGATTATCTCAATAGATGCAGAAAAAGCCTTTGACAAAATTCAACAACCCTTCATGCTAAAAACTCTCAATAAATTAGGTATTGATGGGACATATCTCAAAATAATAAGAACTATCTATGACAAACCCACAGCCAATATCATACTGAATGGACAAAAACTGGAAGCATTCCCTTTGAAAACTGGCACAAGACAGGGATGCCCTCTCTCCCCATTCCTATTCAACATAGTGTTGGAAGTTCTGGCCAGGACAATCAGACAGGAGAAGGAAATAAAGGGCATTCAATTAGGAAAAGAGGAAGTCAAATTGTCCCTGTTTGCAGATGACATGATTGTATATTTAGAAAACCCCATCATCTCAGCCCAAAATCTCCTTAAGTGGATAAGCAAATTCAGCAAAGTCCCAGGATACAAAATCAATGTGCAAAAATCACAAGCATTCTTATACACTAATAACAGACAAACAGAGAGCCAAATCATGAGTGAACTCCCATTCACAATTGCTTCAAAGAGAATAAAATACCTAGGAATCCAACTTACAAGGGATGTGAAGGACCTCTTCAAGGAGAACTACAAACCACTGCTCAATGAAATAAAAGAGGATACAAACAAATGGAAGAACATTCCATGCTCATGGATAGGAAGAATCAATATCGTGAAAATGGCCATACTGCCCAAGGTAATTTATAGATTCAATGCCATCCCCATCAAGCTACCAATGACTTTCTTCACAGACTAGGAAAAAACTATTTTAAAGTTCATATAGAACCAAAAAAGAGCCCGCATTGCCACGTCAATCCTAAACCAAAAGAACAAAGCTGGAGGCATCATGCTACCTGACTTCAAACTATACTACAAGGCTACAGTAACCAAAACAGCATGGTACTGGTACCAAAACAGAGATATAGACCAATGGGACAGAACAGAGGCCTCAGAAATAACACCACACATCTACAACCATCTGATCTTTGACAAACCTGACAAAAACAAGAAATGGGGAAAGGATTCCATATTTAATAAATGGTGCTGGGAAAACTGGCTAGCCATATGTAGAAAGCTGAAACTGGATCCCTTCCTTACACCTTACACAAAAATTAATTCAAGATGGATTAAAGACTTACATGTTAGACCTAAAACCATAAAAACCCTAGAAGAAAACCTAGGCAAAACCACTCAGGACATAGGCATGGGCAAGGACTTCATGTCTAAAACACCAAAAACAATGGCAACAAAAGCCAAAATTGACAAATAGGATCTAATTAAACTAAAGAGCTTCTGCACAGCAAAAGAAAACACCATCAGAGTGAACAGGCAACCTACAGAATGGGAGAAAATTTTTGCAACCTACTCATCTGACAAAGGGCTAATATCCAGAATCTACAATGAACTCAAACAAATTTACAAGAAAAAAACAAACAACTCCATCAAAAAGTGGGTGAAGGATATGAACAGACACTTCTCAAAAGAAGACATTTATGCAGCCAAAAAACACATGAAAAAATGCTCATCATCACTGGCCATCAGAGAAATGCAAATCAAAACCACAATGAGATACCATCTCACACCAGTTAGAATGGTGATCATTAAAAAGTCAGGAAACAACAGGTGCTGGAGAGGATGTGGAGAAATAGGAACACTTTTACACTGTTGGTGGGACTGTAAACTAGTTCAACCATTGTGGAAGTCGGTGTGGCGATTCCTCAGGGACCTAGAACTAGAAGTACCATTTGACCCAGCCATCCCATTACTGGGTATATACCCAAAGGATTATAAATCATGCTGCTATAAAGACACATGCACACATATGTTTATTGTGGCACTATTCACAATAGCAAAGACTTGGAACCAACCCAAATGTCCAACTATGATAGACTGGATTAAGAAAATATGGCACATATACACCATGGAATACTATGCAGCCATAAAAAATGAAGAGTTCATGTCCTTTGTAGGGACGTGGATGATGCTGGAGACCATCATTCTCAGTAAACTATGACAAGGACAGAAAGCCAGACACTGCATGTTCTCACTCATAGGTGAGAATTGAACAATGAAAACACATGGACACAGGAAGGGAACATCACACACCGGGGCCTGTTGTGGGGTGGAGGTGGGGGGGATAGCATTAGGAGATATACCTAATGCTAAATGACGGGTTAATGGGTGCGGCACACCAGCATGGCACATGTATACATATGTAACAAACCTGCACGTTGTGCACATATACCCTAAAACTGAAAGTATAATAAAAACAAACAAACAAAAAAACAATTCAAAAGAAATGGAGGTCCTTAAACTGAGAGGCCTTTTATCGGGAAACAAACTCTGATACTACTTAATGTTACTGTGGGTTCAGTGACAGGCACAGCCATGTGCTATTTTATAAAGATTTGCATCTGTTCAAATTTTCTGAAAAGTAATTTGATAATCAATTTTAGAACTTAAAAATATGTGTGATTTCAGATGTAGTAATTCCATTTCTAGGAATCTTTACTAAGGAAATCGTCAGAAATTTAGTCAAAGATACACTTTTTTTAATGTAAACATACAACAATAGGAATAAAGAAATTATGATACATAGATGTGGAAGAATATTACGCAGCAATAAAAGATTAGGTTTTAAAATATTTTTAATAATCTAGAGAAGCCCTAGAGGTACTGCCAAATGTTACATGATTAGGGGAGGGTAAAGGGTGGGGGGAAAACAGGAATCAGAAAGGTACAGAGGGTATTTTAACTACATCTATAACTAAAAGACTGGAGGGGCACGCACCCAATCTTAACATCAGTTAGCTAAGTGGTAAGTTTAAGAATAATTTTAACTTTCTTTCTTGCCCTTCACTATATTTTCTCTTTTTCCCTCTAAAATTAGTAGTATCAATTGTCAGAAAATAATATATTTTAAAATTTAAGGAGGGCATAATAGCAAGTTTCAGTTGTATAAAAAGTCTGTGGAGGCAATGGATTTCTGGTTATATGACTAGAAATATGGATAAATCTGGAGCTGCCTACAAGTGAGTGAATAATTATCATTTCGATTTTTAAAAAATTTAAATTTAAATTTTCATTTTTTTGTGACAGGGTCTTGCTTTGTCTCCCAGGCTGGAGTGGAGTAGCATGATATCACGATTCACTGCAGGCTCAACCACATGGGCTCAAGCAATCCTCCCACCTCAGCCTTCTAAATAGCTGGGACAACAGGCACGTGCCACCATGCCTGGCTAATTTTTACAAATTTTAATAGAGACGGAGGTCTCACCATGTTGACCAGGCTGATCTCGAACTCCTGAGCTCAAGCCATCCTCCTGCCTCAGCCTCCTAAAGTGCTGGGATTACAAGTGTGAGCCACTAAGCCTGGTTTCAAATGTGTTCCTTTGATATTAATGGTCTCAGTTGGGCATTTGAGTAGATCTGTAATCTACACAGCAGACAAGATATGCCTGGCCTCACTGGTTCCACCTAAAAATAGATGATATATGTTTTTTATTTGAAGAAAAACCAGATGCTTTAGATACCAGGGCCAACGATGCAGAAGACCGTGCTTTGCTATGAAATACCAAGGGTCTGACTTCTCTGGCCAGGGAATTCTGCCTCCTCATAGTGTTGATTACGGGGCCCCTCGATTACAGTCAAGGCTTTTATGATAAGGAAACTTAGATTTGTTTGGATGATCAGAATTTTTTTTTAAATTCATAGAATGTGAGAGATGACCATGGTCTTCAATGTCTGAGTCTAAGAGTCAACCAAATGCCAACCTTTAACATAAAAGAATCTCCTTGGAGAATGCTTAATTTCCAGGAGAACTGGGTCATAAAGTGTCCATTAAATGCAAAAATAAAACTCCAATGACCATTTTAGTTTAATCTTTGAGTTTAATACTATCTATCTTGATGTTAGGCACATTAAACAAATCTAACTATGTAGATTTTGGCATCATGAATATGTAAAAGTTTCTCCTGACAATAATTGACTCAGAGGTTTAACTACTTCTATGCGACTTCTGGATTGAGATAGCTAGGAATATGTCATCAGGAGAGAAGAGAATTTTCTGAAGTATTTTTCATCCGGTCATTACATATCCACATTAAGAAGTATTCAACATCTCTTCGTTTTGGGGTTAAATACCAACAAGTATGTAAATTATTATTACTTTTACTGTACCTTATATAAATCTACAGGACAAATTCCTCTAAGAGTTTAGATTGAAGTTTCTCTACCCTTCCAAAATGTTTGGCTTTTATCATTGCTAACACTGTTGTTGGTTCCCCCAGGAGCTATAATCAATGCTGGATTTACCCAACAGCTATGCTAAGCAGATACTTAACAATGCCAACAGAGTGAAGACACCAAAATCATTTTTTCTAATTTAATTTAATTTAATTTTAAGTTCTGGGATACATGCGCAGGATGTGCAGGTTTGTTTTATAGGTAAAAGTGTACCATGGTGGTTTCCTGTACCTATCAAATCGTCACCTAGGTATTAAGCCCCACATGCATTAGCTATTTATCCTGATGCCCTCCAGGCCCCAGTGTGTGTAGTTCCCCTCCCTGTGTCCATGTGTTCTCATTTTTCAGCTCCCACTTATAAGTGAGAACATGTAGTGTCTGGTTTTCTGTTCCTGTGTTAGTTTGCTGAGGATAATGGCTTCCAGCTCCATCCATGTCCCTGCAAAGAACATGATCTTATTCCTTTTTATGGCTGCATAGTATCCCATTGTGTATCTGTACCACATTTTCTTTATCCAGTATATTATTGATGGGCATTTGGGTTGATTCCATGCCTTTGCTAATCAAAATCATTTTTTAAGTGGTTTGCTATTTCAAATTTTGTTTAAAATGCATCAAATTAGACATCATGGAAAAATGTTTGTTGAAGTATCTTATAGTTAAAAAAAATTTAAATATCACATGGGAGGGTATCTTAATCTTTTCAGGGGTTCTACTACAAACTCTTTGCTCATATTTCCTTACTTTGGTTGTCATGAAGCACAGAATTAGCTTCAAAAGCTTCCTTTAATCTTAGTGAGAGATATCAATTTATGTTTGTACTTTCCTGTACCATGTCTAAAATATGACTGATTCCTTTTCAACATGTATCCTGGGGTTTTCCTGTGTGATTAGGGAGCAATTCAGATGCTAGACTAATGGGCTCTACTTGGAATAAGAAGATAGTTCTTGAGAAAAAAGGCCATGGGAGTCCTCCCATGAGTAGTTATTGAGGAAAGGAGAAGGAAACTAACATTCGTGGAATGCTTGCTATATGCCAGGTGCTGCTAAGTGACCACCAACTGTTCCCTCTTCTTCCTATACTTACAGTGGCACCATATTTCCCAGCGTCCCTTGCAGTCAGTCAGCTGTTGCCAAGTGACTGAATTACAGCTGGTGGAAAATAAATGGAAATGATGTGTACTGTTTTGGTCCTCCCCAAAATAAAATCTCCCAAAACATGATCCTATCTCTTTTCCTCCATCTGCTATTTGCATGTTTATGGCCAGTGTGACTTGGAAGCCCACAGGTTGAAGATGTCAGAACTCCATCTGCCTGACAATAGGACAGCCTGCCTGGCTGGCCTATAGCACGGTATGGAGAACAGCTACTAATCCTACCACCAGCCGGAAAAACGCAGATTGGACATTTATTTTTTAAGCCACTGACATTAGGGAGGTTATCCATTGGAGCATGTTTAATTTAGTGCATCAACTTTCTTTATGTGGGCTCACCACAGAATCACCTACATAAAACAGACAAAAAAGTTTTTAAAATTTAAATCATCCCACTATCTATACAGTATGAACTAGTGCTCACATTGCAGTCTGAATGTATTTTGTCTAATATACACACACACTCACACACACATATATATACATGTGTATATTTATTTTGTGTATATATGTTTGTGTATATATATGTTTACATATATAAATTACCATATCTCTGATGACATTCTGTAGAACTTAAATTTGGCATGACATTAACTAGCACATCCCATTTAATTTTTATACCTATCAAGGTGGAAATGATTTCATAGATGAGAAGACTGAGGGTTGGGGCTCAGCTCAACTATTTTGTCTTAGGGAACTGTGTCAGGACTTTACCTAGGTATGTCTGGCTCCAAGTATGCCTTTCCACAGTACGTCTCTACCTGATGTCTATTTACTTCCATGACAGCTCGCAAAGCAGTCTGGTGGAAGTGCTGGGAGCTGAGGTGAGAGCGCTACCGTGTAGAGCTGTTGGTGAGTCCTGGTGTTTCCTGTGCTGAGGGAGCCTACTGAGTGCATTGCATTCATCCTTGTCCACCTTGTTTATACTCTGAATCTACTCAAGGCACCCACTTGACTAAAGTTTGTCAATGCTCTGTCTTCATTATAACTTAAATTTAAAATTAAACATGTTGGACATAAAAAGATGGGCACATGTATGTTCATTGCAGCTTTTTTATGAGAGAAAAAATGGAAAGAAACCAAATGTCCATCAATAGGAGTATGGATAACCATGTTGTGGTATCTTTATGTAATGGAATACTATTTGTCAATAAAAACAATGAGCTACTGATACATGCTTGCAAATGAATAGATACAAAAAGTATTATGCTCAGAAAAAGAAGTTAGACTCAAAATGAAACTTATTATACCATTCTATTTCTATAAAGTTCAAGAAAAGGCAAACTAATCTATGGAATAAAAATCAGAATAGTGGTTGTCTCTCGCAAACAGAAACCAGAAAAAGATGTGAGGCAACTTTCCAGTGTAATGGAAATGCTTTATGTGTTTATCGGGATATAAACATTTATTAAAACTGGTTGAACTATATAATTAACATCCATGCATTTTATTATATGTATTTATACCTTGGTTTAAAAACTAAGTTTGTTAAAGGCTTAAGGGTTAATCTATATTCTAGTGCCTCCTTAAGCCCTATCAGCTTTGAAACTCTGCTAAGTGCATCTGTCAGCATGGAATATGTTTGGATTACTGCACCAACCCTGCCTTACATGGACACAAACAGATCCACGGGCCACAACATGACATAATTTTGAGGGAAAACAAAAAGAAAACATACTCTTTAGAGTTAGATAATCTACAGAGTTAAGCTTAAAATAGTCCATAGTTTTCCCCTCAGCATTGTCTGTTGGTTGGAAGCTGCTGGGCCACCGCCCTCCATGTATATAGGAGCACCTAGAAGTTTCATGTGGGACCACAAGGCTTTCCCTTGCTGTGAATGTGGAAAAAAGTAATTCCATTTGTAGTGCCTAGAACTTTGGTATGGTTCCAAAAATAATGTGAATGTGAACACTATTGTAAGGTAATAGAAGAAACCTTGTAGTAAAGGGCAGGAAAATTGATTTCCAGTACTCTGGAAATGAAATAAATTCATGTAGGAGTTGGTGAAAGCAGTCTTCATATGTCTAAAACAATAAAAAGAAATATCTCATTTCAACTAAATTCACACTAAACACCCACACTGGAATCGTTTTAAAGTTTCCTAGAATGTGTTTCTTTGATTTAGTTTTGATAAGCTTGCTGTCTGTTGAGAAAGAAAAAATGTCAAGTGAAGAAATATTATAAAAAGCACTGCAGTTGGTTTGTTTAGCCATCTCAGAATATGGATATTAAAGTGTTACTGGTGAGCCTCCTCACAAAAAAATATGAACAAAGGTCTTGCTTTAATTATCTTTGTATCTTCAGCATTCATTTTTCACTGTGCCTGGTCCATAGTAAGTGGTGAAATGATGGATGGATGGATGGATGGATGGATGGATGGATGGATGGATGGATAAAAGAAAGAAACTTTGAAGCATCTGTTGCCTGTAATATCAAAGACTAACAAAGAGAAAAACTGGCTTCTATTACTACTGGCTTGTGGAAATATAAATTTGGAGCTTATGAAAAAGCTGAAATTAAGAGGCTACAAATCTCCTACTTCACAGCCATTAGGTACAGAAGTAAGTCTCTAGCTTGCTGGTGTTATGTGAATTGAAGAGAAAAATAGTCCTCTGGTGAAGGGATAAAAGTTTTGAATAATGTCCAGTGTGGGTAGCAGCTATTCTGGGTGAAAATCATGACCATGTAATTCTCCAAGAAAGCTAATCCCTCTCGTTTCTCTTCTCATTTCAATCTTTCTTATTCAGTTTTAACTGCAGAAGCTGTGGTCTATTGATTTTTAAAATGTTCAAAAATAATCAATAAAATCACCACACCATTTAAAATTTATTTTCCTGTATTTGACTTCATTCCCAGGTTTCCTGTGAATTGATTACTGCAATGGTCAAAGAAGTAAACCTTCTTGTTACTGCTCTAAGGTTAAAATGCTATTGTCTAAGACTGATTTGTCAACTTGGTAATTTCATATAAGTTGAAGAATTTAGGTTTTTTACTGCAAACCTCTACTCATTCCTTCTTAACATTAATAAGAAGTCACATTTATTAACTTCTATTCAGAAGAAGCACTGAAAAGCATAAATACCATTTAGCATAACTCTGCAAACATTTTAGGTTTAAGAGTAACAATTTCTATCCCATAACTTTTTCCACTCAGAGTTTTTATATCAGTCACAATAATTAGACCTATCTTCAAAATTAATGGAAAAGAAAAGACAATGTAAAGAGTATAATGTTAATCAGAAAATGTAATTCAATGTTCTGCCATAATCAAAGAAGGCCACAACACACTGTGCTCCAGGAAATGGCATCTCTCATTTTTCCCAAGCATGTTGTGAATAACTGCATTGCTCTGAAACTTACACGTATGATTTACATCAATTTCAGTTTTGTTCGTTATTCTGCTTAGAGTGAGTAATAGTCTTGTGAGTGAGTAATGAACTACCTTATTAACTTGGGGTTGACTCCTTCACTGTCTAGGTATACCTATAGAACAAAGTTTGAACAATGCAATGGAAAGTCTTTACATTATGATCAAGGTATTTATTAAAACCTACTATTTATGATATGGTTTTTATAAAGAGTAAATGACAGTAACTGACATATAATGATTACCTCACAAGTGTTTAAAATGTCTTTTGCATTTATTATAAAGTGAATGACAATTGACAAATCAGCCAACATTAAATCTAGCTATAAATTACATAGTAATATCAAGTGTAACTTAAATGGAAAGCGGAGTAATGAAGAGGCAGCAATGGAATATTATAGCTTAGCAAGAATGTGTTTCAGAAAATTGCAATCGTTCTTTCTTTAAATTTTGAAACAAATGGCTATATTGTGCTAACCAAACGCCCTCTTTCTTCAAATATAAATTTTATTTTAGGAAATGAATGAAGCAATTTTTTCCTCCCACTAGTGCCATGGAAGAACTTTGTCAAGTTCTGAATTTTCTTGTGTCTTTCTTATGATTAGGCAGAGTAAGGTGTTTAGTTTCTTTCTTATGATTAGGCACAATAAGGCATTTACTTTCTCCATTAGGTCCATCTTTTTCTGCCACCTTCTTTGCTCGCACCTGTTACCCTAGCTATCACCGATACTGTGCTTATAACTTCTCCATGGTCCCCTGAACTGGATAGCGGCCCCCATGCAAGCCAATGCCTCATTTGATCCACTCTGCTGCCTTCATTGAAGTCTTTTAGATTTTGTTGTTGTCAAATAACCTATTCTTTTGTGACTTTCCTCTCTAGCCTTGAACAGTATCTACTACCAATTTTAAAACACCCAAATTCATGAAAAACTTCTGTTTCTCATGGTGGCCAACACTCGTTTCACCACAAAGACCAATTCTGGCTTCTCTTGGGTGGCAGCTTCTCACTGTTTGATACAGTAGCACCAACATATGCAAAGACTCTTCCAATTTACCTTAATAAAGTATGAATCTGAATGAGGAGCAGAGCTTTTGAGCTATTGCAGGAAAACATAATTACAAGGAGAACTTGTCTGGTTTTGAATCAGCCTGAAATTGTAGGCAAATCCTTTGACCCCCACCCTTGATGTAAAACCACACGACCAAGAGAGGACATCATCTCCTGATGCCAGCTCATCACATTTAAAGAAAAATGAGTTCCATGTGTTTTTCACAAAACTTGAAATTTTAATGAACTCTCCAGTCCATCATCCCATAATTGTACTTAAGATTTTCCTTATACCATGGAAGACTAAATCTGGCCTATTTTGACTATTACATTTGAGCCAATATTTCTATCAAGGAATGACTACTTCTAGATTTTTAGGTATTTCTATATAAAATTGAAACATATTTTTTTAAATATAGAGGTTATTTTTCTTCCAGAAGGAAGACTGCCAGGTATCAGGTGAAAATAGGCATTTTAACATTTTTGATGGTGGTGGTGATGACAGTGAGAAAAGTTCATGTTTTCCAGAGTTGTTACATTTCTTGCTTAATCTAATTTATTTTATTCCGATGTTGGCCTATCCTTTAACTCATCATTACTTTATTCTATTTGATTTTATTATAAATTGTTTAAAAAGTTTTAGTTTTAAAAACCAAAGAGAGACGTTTGTCACATCCTTTGCCTCTGAACATGGCCATGCCTGGAGAGTACAAAGGCATAGATAACCATCTTGACTTTCAAAATCCCTCGAACAGATGCATTTCGTAGGTATTTAAAATTTTGAATCTAAATAACTGATATTTTAATATTTAGAATGGTGGATAGGAATTAGGAGGAGGACAGAAATTATATCCCTAGTCAAGTTATGGTATAGTAGGAAGACCTCATCCTCTGCAAAAAGGGACACACACACAAAAGCAGTCATTTCATCAGTCTCTTACTTAGTAAGTTCTTTTTATATGTGCAATACCATGACAGCAATGCAGAGAGTTATTTGGGAATAGAAGAAAAGCAATTAAGTAACTAGAGAATGTCAACATAAAAAAAGAAAAAAAAAACCCTAAAACTAGACATTTTTAGGACAGAGAAACCCTAGTCAAGAAAAAAAAAATCAGCTACAAGAAAATGAGACATACTTAAGGAGATTATTCTTTCAAGGGGGAGAAACTTGCTTGGAATGCACTAGGCCACAGATATCCTTAAGAATCCACACTGGACACATTCAAGCAGAAAATATCACTATAATTCTCAATAAATGTCCACTAAGTGACCAGCTGGTCTCAGAGGTCCAGTGAGTGTTGTAACCTTTATGGTTGATGCAACAGAATGAGCCATATCGTACAAAATTACAAGACCACAACCGAAGACTGGCAGTGATTTGTTTTTTGTGGAATCACAAACTATTATTATTGTCATCATTGCAGAAGGTCCGAGGCAGTGGAAAACCTAGGGGACACCAAAAATATAACCTACCTAGTAACTAAAAGACTATATTTGTCAATTGTGGAACCTCTGAAATGATGATTTCTGAGAACAGATTTCTCAGTTCTTTACCAAAGAATGTGCTGATTTGATTTCAAAAAATTGGCATTTTAACACCATAAAATGAACACTCATGAAACATTCAGGTTATTCTAAAAGTTACTGAATAATCAAATAATACCATGAAACCTCTCTAGTAAGTAAAAAATTTGTTTCTGGGTGAAAATACAGAGAGTCGAAGAATATTGTTACATAAAGAGCAAGTTCAAAATTATTCCCTCGTCTGTCCATTTGTAGAAAAAGGTTTTTGTTTGTTTGTTTTTTCCTTCACTGTGGCTGGTATAGAATGGGGAAGAAATCCACCATGTTTACTGGAAGGCTGGTATGTCTAAGCATGCCAATACAGTTACTTTTGTCACTTGCTCTATGTCCTTGAATAAATAGCAATGTCCATTTTCTCAGTAAGAAGATTACTCCAAAAGTTTCTTGGCCAACTTGTGTCTAGAAATTTTCAAGAATACATATATTTAATTTTTTTGTTCAATGCTTAAGATTAATCATATTTAAAAATAACTAAAATATTCCACTAGAAAGAGAATAATTCTCTATTAGGAGGGAGGGGATTCAAACAGAAGCTTAAGAAATCAAATGAGTTTACCGCAGTTTAGATTCATTTGAAGGCAAATGTAGATGATTTTGAACACCCTCCTCCATTATTTTTTTGACCTTTTTTTAACTTTTCACTTATTACTCTATCACACTCTAAGCATTATATAATTGCTTATTTATTGTATATATCATCTGTCTCCCTACTAAAATATATGGAGGGATTTTGTCACTATTATATTCCCAGAGCCCAGAACAAAGTATGTAATGACACCTGGTAGACTCAATAAATACGTATTCAGTGAATAAATGAATGAGAATGAAGCCTGGAAATCATCTAACTGTGAAGCACTGCTTCTTTAACTTCATAGTTAGTGAGGCCGGGCGCGGTGGCCTGTAATCATGCCTGTAATCCGAGCACTTTGGAAGGCCGAGGTGGGTGAATCACTTGAGGTCAGGAGTTTGAGACCAGCCTTGCCAACATGGTGAAACCCCGTCTCTACTAAAAAAAATACAAAAAATTAGCCAGACATGGTGGCATGCGCCTATAGTCCCAGCTACTCAGGAGGCTAAGGTGGGAGAATTGCTTGAACCCAGGAGGCGGAGGTTGCAGTGAGCCGATGTCATGCCATTGCATTTCAGCCTGGGGGACAGAGTGAAACTTCACCTCAAACAACAACAACAACAACAACAACAATAGTGTGAAGGAGTTTGATGAAAATATTAAAAGCTTTGAGAATGCACACGCTCGGATTATTATGACAAGATGTTTCCAGGAACAAAAATTTTGGAAGAAAATCATTTTATTCTAATTAACTCACAAAGAATAAAATCATAATAGCTGGTAGAAGGAGGCCACACAAACATTTGCCCAGCCCCAAAGTATACCCCATCTTAATGAAATTCTACAAAGTAAGAACACTCTCTTCCATTTCAATTCTGCAGCAAGGAAGCTATGAATGACACAGAAGGGGTTTAACTGATGGTTTTACACTTTATATCTTCACTACCAATTATATTTTTATACTAAACTAACTTGGTCATAACAGCCAATTTTCCATTTCTTTGGCCAACTCATTTGCAAGTCTGCACTGTTTCAGCACCTCATCGAAACTCTTACAGAGATTTATGTCACTCAGGTTCTGAGCATATTCCAAAAACGGCTTTATCTCATATAAGTAAGCCTGCCCCTGTGCCGGCTGGGTTCCCTGAGGCTCCTGATAAGCGATGTGGGGCCTTGCAAGGCTCAGCATTACTTCCTCCATGGAAGCCTCCAGTGATGGCATGACCTAATGTGTGCCCCACAGCAGAGCCCACAGCCACGCCAACTGCTATGGTTGCCATCTGGGCATCAGACCTGGCTGCAAGGGCACAGCAGCAGGAGAGCCAACTGCAGAGAGGGTGCTGCTGCTGGCGGTGGAGCTGCTGCTGCGGGCCTGTGTGCAGTTCTCACCTGAGATGCCCGGCTGGCCAGAGGGGCCATGTGGGAGGTGTGGCTTCGGCTTCCACATAGCATCCTAGGTGCGGGGTGGCTCAGCGTCTGGACGTGCGAGAATCTGTGAAGAACCCAGGGGTTTCTGAGAAGAAGGAGAGCTGAAGACGAAAAGCCGAAAAAAAAAATTTTAATGCCACATTTATCATTGGTAAAATCACAGACGTATTTGATTCGCCTTTTGTTTTGGCAATTTTAGGTACAGCATTTACTAGAGTGTGAAAAACCAGAGATACTACCCTTATGCTTGTGTAGTGGTTGAAAGAGATAAAGCAATAGATCAGAATCTAGAGTTTGGCCTAAACTAATTGTTCAATATAAAGGAAGTCAACAAGTGTCCCATAATATGTAAGACAATTTGCAAGGCAAATCCCTCCTCCTGAAGGCTAATTTTAGGTAGAAACCTTGTAGCTTGTTTAGATGAATATTGTATATGATTAAAATAACATTTCTCTTTTCAGTTGATTTAGAGTCATTCATCCTATTTTGTTAAGCTGTTCAGTTTGAGTCAAATGAGAGTGAGTCCCTTGCTCTGGACTGAATGCTGTGTCCCCGCCAAAATCCATATGTTGAAACCCTAATCTTTAATGTAATGGTATTTGGAGGTGGAGTCTTTGGCAGTTAATTAGAATTAGGTTAGGTCATGGGATGGGGCCTCATGATGAGATTAATGCCTTCATAAAAGTAGGAAGAGAGAAGAGATTCATTTCTCACCATGTGAGGGTACAGGAAGAAGGCAGCCACTTGCAAACCAGGAGGAGGGCCCTCACCAGACACAGATCTGCCATCTCCTTACTCTTAGATTTCCCAGCTTCCAGAACTCTGAGAAATAAATGTGTGTTGTTTAAACCACCCAGTCTATGGAATTCTGCTATCACAGCCTAAACTGACTAAGATACCTTGAGTATAAATCTGGCAGGAAAGAGAGGTTTAAAAAATTTTACACATTTTAAAATAGGTCTTTAATTTCATTGGCTACAAACCTATTCAGAAAACACATTCTATAATGGCTATCAATATTGTTCCTACAGATGAGCTACGAGCTTCTTATTCAATCTCTCAGAGCAAAAAGCAATACTGATAGACTTGCATTCTCAAAATAATATTGTCCCATTGGGGAATGGTTCTTAGGAGTACAAAAAAATCTTAGATATTACAATTGTTTATAGCCCTCCAAAGCTCAACCCTATCCAACAAAATCTTATTCCTTTTTCTTGAGACTATAAGCCAATTTCATTGTTTATCATCATGTCATACAAAAGTCTAGAAACAATAATGAATTTGTACAGAAAAACCAAATGAATAGCAAATCAGAGCACAACAAAAATAACTTAAATTTGCTATTTTTTTCTCATGATATTAGGAAGATAATCATTTCAAAGCACATGTGTCTACCTTCAGAGTAGTTTTTGTTTACTGGCCAAAGCCTGCCATAAAGTTAAGGCTTTCAGTGCCTCTGTCCGCTCTACTAGCTCTTGGCAAGACTTTTGAGGTCTTCAAGAAAAGTAATGTATCCTGGTGCTCTGGGCTCTGCTGAGCTCTACCAATTCATCTGCAAAGGAGTTGTCCACCCCTTGGTATTTAATTTCTCTCCATAAGGAGACTTTAAATTAAATTAAATTTTGCTCTTTAGCAGAACAATAATGAAAGAAATGGTTCAGAAACACTGGAATAGATGGTCTTCTATTCGTTATTTATTAGGCATTATTTCAAGAATATTTATTGAATACATGCTCTAATTCAGGCACTGTGTGGAGATACTTCAGGCACTTTGGCTGGAGATATAATGACAGATAAAATATTGTTCCTATTCTCAGCAACTCATAATCTAGAGGGTATGAGAGAGAGGCGACCAGCCACAGTAGAGAAGGTTCAGCACCACCACAGGGGTGCTACGGAAATGTATGGAGAGGTAGATCCAGCCATGGTTGAGATGGGAATAGGGGCAGGCTTCCTGCAGGATGTGACTTCAGAACTGAGTCCTGAAGGACAGACCAGAGTTAGACAGACAAAGGTAGGATGTGCAGAGACCCTGAGAAAAAGATGCGAGGTGCGAAGAAGGAAGTGAAATATTTTTAAATGACTGAGCTTACTGTGAGGGACAGATGTAAAAGGGGTGGGCCTGGAATCGTATGTAAGAGTCAGATCATGAAGGGCTTTCTAGGAAACTCTGAGAAGCTGATATTGTATCCTGAGTGTATCCCAGTCATGGAAGACTTTAAGCAGAAATTTAAAATATATTAGTGGTATTTTAGAAAGTTTGCTTTGGCCACAGTGCGAAAAATGGATTGAAGGGAAGACAATAAAGAGGCTCTTGTATTAACTCAGATGAGGCAATAGTGGCCTCAAATAAAATAATAGCAGTAGTGATATAGAGAGTAGTAAGATTCGAGGGGTGTAGAGTTGACAGGAATGGACAGGCCTACATTGAGCAGGTAGGGTTAAGGAACAGGTAGGTGATTAGGATGACAACCATACTTCCAGCTTGACCAAATGGACAAAGAATACAGGAAAAATGATAGTTGGGAATTTGAGATAATTTTGGAACTTGCAGGTGGAGATTTCCATTATAAGTTTGATATGTGACCCTGAAGCAAAAGAGGAAAATCTGTATTAAAGTAACAGATGTGTAACTGAAGCCATGAGAATGAGAGGAGTCATCCAAGGAGACTGCAGAATGAGAAGAGGAAATGGACAAGGACAGAGCCCTGAGAATGTGAACATCAGAACACAAAGAAAGAACAGCATATAGAAGCACCTGAGAAGTAGCACGAAGGGAGGGAGGAGGAAAATCAGACCGTGCAGTACCATAGGTATGGTGGAAACGTAGAGCTTTTGAAAGAGGATGAAACAGTTGGTGGTGTGAACTGCCATAGAAACCATGTAGGAAAGTGACTGAAAAGTGTCCATTCCAGTTAACAAGCAAAAACTCATAGATTAACAAGAAAGAAGTCATTGGTACCTGTTTCCAGAGTTGTGGAGGCAAAGGTGATATTGCAGTAGGTTGAGGAGTGAGTAGATGGTGAAGAAATTAAGTCATCAAATGTTGGCAAGTTTGTAGAAGCTTGGCTGTGAAAAGAAAGCAAGCGATCTATGAGAAACTAGGTGTAAATGTGTATGAGCAAGAGAGCGTTTTTGTTTCTTTGTTTTATGGAAGAGACTTGAAAATTAAATGCCAATGAAAAAGAGCCAATAGGGAGAAATCGATAATACAGTTGGGAGAGAAAGTTGCCTGGGAAGGCTACAGATAGATCCAGCAAGATTTAACCTTCATTCGCTTATTCGAGATTCCTAAATCTTGAATAATGAAGATTGGGAAGGAGAAAAATGAATTCAAGAGCTTTCCTTTGGCTACAGGAATCACATCAAGAGAAGAGTCTACAAGTACTCTGCCCTCAGATCTATCATCTGCAAACAGTGTTGTGTGTTAAACTTCGACCTCTCTTTTAGAAAGGGCAAGGACTCAATTGAGACGTCTTACTAATTCACCTGATGTCAAATTCTATGAGACCTTCTAGTCTCATGTAAATAACCATAGATGTGGTTTCCCTGACTCCATATAAAGCAATTTAAACAGATGCAATCCTTGCCCTTCAGTAAATCACAATAAAAAACAGATGACATGGACACACACAACCACCACCACCACCACCGCATAAGGACACAATATTATAGTAAGAGAACATGATGGTCTTAATAAGCATCTATAGTAGGTACAAGTTTGGTATTTGTTATTTCTGGCTTACGGAATACATGAAGGTTTTGCAGGGAAATTGGGTGGGGTTAGGAAGAGCACTACTTGACCTTCACTTAAACAGGGGAGACCTGGGACAAAAGAGAAGAGGTAGAGCTGTGATTCCTTTAAGTTCCCAGGATGAAACCTGTCTCTTTTATCCCTCACCACTCAGACTTACAAGCCCTCAATAAATAACAGTAGTTGACTGATTGTATAAAGTCATAGACCTAGATACTTAGTGATGGAAAAACTAGGCAAAGTTTGAGCAGATAAGGCTGGATGGAAGGCAGAATGCATACTGGAAATTAGGAGGTTAAAGGGGCATGAAATGTTCTTAGATTGCCTATCAAAGGGTCTAGTAATGGAGGATTAAAGAGTAATTATAGTGATGTCCAGACAGCTCAGCAGAATACTGTAAAGGTGAGGGTTGGTGCCCAAACTAGATACTACGTTTTGGTTTCAGAGAGCAAGCTGGATGTAGAGGATATGAAAGAAATAGCAGAGAGTTTAGAGATAAATATAATGTTAGCATAGCCAATATTTTAACATTTTTCTGATAGAAAAATTTCATCATATAAAATTTTGACATAAAAATTATGTCATTCTAAGCTAGAATCCAAAAAATTCTAGCTTCTTAAGCTTTCAAATAAGAGCTGCAAAGAGACTTTACATGAAAATATGTTTGAAAAGTATTTATCTCCTTTTTCAGTCTTGGCTATTCATGAGTCTTATATAAGGCATCTTGAAATGTATTCTAGCAAGCAAGGAAGACTAAATGAGTTTGGAAAGGGAGCTAGGGTCTAGATATTTTTAGATTGAGGGAGCTTTGCCCAAAGTCAAAAGCTAGCAAGAAGGCAGCCTATGAAATGGGAGAAACTATTTGCAAACCATGTATCTAATAAGTGGTTAATTTCCAAAATATATGTTTAAACTCCTACAAATCAACTTTAAAAACCTAATGATTCAATTAAAATTGGCTGAAGACTTAAATAGACATTTCTGCAAATAAGACATACATTTGGTCCACATGTATAAAGAGACACTCAATGTCTCTTATCATGAGGAAATTGCAAATAAAAACCACAGTGAGATAGCACCTCATACCAGTTAGGATGGCTATTATAAAAACAAAACGTACAAGTGTTGGCAAGGATGTGGAAAAACTGGAATCCTTGTACATTGTTGGTGGGAATGCAAAATGTTGCAGCTGCTGCAGAAAATAGAATAAAGTTTCCTCAAAAAATTAAAAATAGAACTACAGATGTTCCTCAACTTATGATGGGGTTACATCCTGATAAATCCATTGTAAGTTGAAAATATTATTAAGTCAAAAATGCATTTAATACTGAACATCATAGCTTGGCCTAGCCTACCTTAAATGTGCTCAGGACACTTACATTAACCTATAGTTAGGCAAAATCATCTAACATACAGACTATTTTATAATAAAGTGTTGAATATCTCATGTAATTTATTGAATACTGTACTGAAAGTGAAAAACAGAAGGGCTGTATGGGTGCTCAAAGTATGATTTCTATTGAATGTATCACTTTCACTCATTGTAATGTCAAAAAAGTCATAAACCATTGTAAGTTGGGGATTGTCTGTATATGATACAGCAACCCTACTTCTGGGTACTTACCCAAAGGAATCTGAATCCAATCTCAAAGAGATACTAGCACCCCATGTTTGTTGCAGCACTATTCACAATAGCTAGATATGGAAACAACCTAAATGTCCATCAGTGAATAAATGGATAAAGAAAATGTGGTATATGCATACAATGGAATATTATTCAACCTTAAAAAAGAGGGAAAGTCTGAAATATGAGGCAACATGGATGAACTTTGGGGACATTACGCTAAGTGAAATAAGCCAATCACGGAAGAACAAATGTGGCATAATTCCATTTGTATGAGATATTTAACATAGTCAAACTCATGGAATCAAAGAGTGAAATGGTGGTTGTCCAGAGCTAGTGGAAAAGGAAAATGAGAAGTTGCTAATCAATAGGCATAAACTCTCACTTAACGCGAAATGCTGAAGTTCTTGAGATCTGCTGTATAACATTGTGCCTATACTGAACAGTATTGTATTGTACACTTAACAATTTAAGACAGTAGATCTCATATTAAGTGTTCTTTCCAAGATAAAATAAAATTTGAAAAAGTTTGAAAATTTAAAAAATAAAAGCTAGCAAAAGACAGCACTAAGATTTTAATATTTGATTCCAAATCCTATAGCCATAGAATTGATTGTAAGGGGATATAGGCAAGTGCCTGGGATTAGAATATTACTACTGTAGCCTGGAAAGTAGTAATGAGAACTTGAACAAAGACAGAACTGACAGGAAAGAAGGGAGAAGGTTGGATTCTAAAGGAAACATGAAAGTGGTATTAATAGGATTTGACAACTGAGTATATGTGGCAGGTACATTACAGTGAGTGTGGGGTTTTGCCAGAATGGATTCATCTTACAGAGCAGTTGGTCATGGCGGGCCAATGAAATGAATCTATGTTCACATACCATCTAAGAGAATCAATTTATCACCTGTTTAAATGAAGAAGAATGATATGATCATGAGAACTTCAGTAAAAAGTGTTGTTGGGACAGTCCTGATTAGAGAAATAGCAAAGTTAGTAAGGATCTGTGATTCTTACTGTGATAGTACTATTCCTTAGAAAAAAATGCTTTAATGAGCATATATGAATAAATCTAATCAATTTAGTAGCTAGACGACTGTTGGAAAAGTTTGCTAGGGTTAATGATGTATTGAAAATAAGGTATCACAGTATATTATAAATTGAAACAGTCTTAGAGGTCACCTATAATAGTTCTATCATTTCCTTAAAAAACTATTTATAGATCATTTCAAACATATACAAAAGTGGAGATAAATATCATGACTTACCATTAATTCATTAACAATTTGACAATTATCATTTTATGGCCAATCTTTAATCATTTCTCCACCCTCAGATAACTATTTTATCTCTGAAAAACAAGAATTCTTTTCAAAACCAAATAACAATAATAATAATAATATCATCACATCAGTTTTAGGTGTGATGATACTATTCCTTAATACTAATATATACTTAATTATATACTTATTTAATTACTTAATACCAATATAATTCCTTAATAATAACAATCATTCCTTAATACTATAAAATGCTGATTAGCATTCAACATTTCTCCAATTCTTTCATAATTTATTTAGAAATGTCTCTAAAGTCTTTATAATTTGAGTTTCCCTTTCCTTCTTTTTTATTTTTCCTTCTATTTTATTGAAGAAATGAAGTAATGCATCTAATAAAGTTTCCCATGTTCTGGATTTTCCTGAATGTGTCTCAATGGTCTTATTTTACATGTTCTTCTATCCTTGTATTTCCTCTAACCTGGTAGATATAGAGGCCTGATCAGATTCAAGTTCATTTATTTGGTCAGAATGCTCCATGAGTGTGAAGGTACACATAATGCCTGGTTTCTTCTTTTTGGTGAAAACTCTCTTATTTTTTAAAGATGGTTTAAATTGAAGTCTCAGAATGGTTAAGAGGTAGAGTCAAATTAGTGGGAGAGTCAAGACTGAAACCTCAGACTTTTGAGTCTCAGTCTCTACCTCTTTCATTATATCATGTTACTATCAAAAAAAGCTTGCTAAGTGACTAGAACATAGCAGGTGGTCTATTCGGCATTGCATAAGACATGGTTGCACCATTCACAAAATTATCCAAGCCAGAAATCCAGAAGTCATCCTAGGCTTCTCCACCTCTCTTACTTCTACTAAGTCCTACTGACTGTATCTATTTTACATCACTCTCATTTGTTCCCTCCTCACCACTCCCACTGTCACTACATTATTTCAGACTTTATTGTTGATTTATTGGACCACTATGATTAGCCTTTGTAAGCTGCCCTTCTCCATAACAATCTTGCCTTCTTCAGTCACTGCTGCCTTGTTAACAAAAGATTTTTCCAGCTGAAAATCTGAATATGTTATTTTTCTCAGTTTTCATGATGGAGTTCATACTCCTTAGTGTGACAGACAGGTCCCTCCATCATCTGGCTTTGCCTATCTGACCAACTTCATGTGTCACTACTTTCACTCACAATATTCCAGTCTATTGAATTATTGAAGTTTTCTGGGTCTGCCAGCAAGAATATGTAGTGATTAAAATGTGGGCTCTAAAATTAGACATACTTGACTTTGATCCTTGAATTTCCCCATTTACTAGTTGTGCAATACAAGGCATACTTACCAGCACTGTGTCTCATATACCTCACCTCTGTAATGGGAATAATCTCAAAGAATTGTTTTCTATGTGTACGAAGAATGAAAGAAATAGTGCAGGTGAAGAATTCGCATGTGAGCCCTCGCTCAGTAAATACAGGGTGGTGTTGTTATGTGGTTTCATATGCCTTTATAACCTTTGAACACATTCCTAATAATGTTTCTCTCCTCCTTCTTGACAACCTCTCCTTCTTGACAAGCTAGCAAATTCTTACTCTTGTGTAAGGGCCCAGCTCCACTGCTCTTTTGCCAATTAGTAGTAAACCTCTCTCATTCCATAGCGCCTCGGAACCTTGTAGATATTTAAGTTACTGTATCCCATGGCTATATGTCTATCTGCCTTGCACAACTGTTAAATTTTTAGATAGAAACCATATTTTTTTGTTTTTCTTCTCATATTCTATATCATGGTATGGCTCAGTGAAAAGCTCTATAATTTAAGGTTACTGCATCCCATGGCTATATGTCTATCTGCCTTGCACAACTGTGAAATTTTTAGACAGAAATCATTTTCTTTTGTTTTTCTTCTCATATCTTATATCATAGTATGGTTCAGTGAAAAGCTCTATAATTCAAGGTTTGGTAAATTCAACTAAATTGATGGGGTTGAATTAAATTGAAAGAGTGTATCCAACTTCTCTTTTTATGAGTCTGTATTTTCCAAGTAACTTTTATGAAAGAAAAGATGACTTATCCAAAGAATCTAAATCAACAGAATATACATTTTTTTCAGCACCACACCACACCTATTCCAAAATTGACCACATACTTGGAAGTAAAGCTCTCCTCAGCAAATGTAAAAGAACAGAAATTATAACAAACTATCTCTCAGACCACAGTGCAATCAAACTAGAACTCAGGATTAAGAATCTCACCCAAACCGCTCAACTACATGGAAACTGAACAACCTGCTCCTGAATGACTACTGGGTACATAATGAAATGAAGGCAGAAATAAAGATGTTCTTTGAAACCAATGAGAACAAAGACACAACATACCAGAATCTCTAGGACGCATTCAAAGCAGTGTGTAGAGGGAAATTTATAGCACTAAATGCCCACAAAAGAAAGCAGGAAAGATCCAAAATTGACACCCTAACGTCACAATTAAAAGAACTAGAAAAGCAAGAGCAAACACATTCAAAAGCTAGCAGAAGGCAAAAAATAACTAAAATCAGAGCAGAACTGAAGGAAATAGAGACACAAAAAACTCTTCAAAAAATTAATGAATCCAGGAGCTGGTTTTTTGAAAGGATCAACAAAATTGATAGACCGCTAGCAAGACTAATAAAGAAGAAAAGAGAGAAGAATCAAATAGACGCAATAAAAAATGATAAAGGGGATATCACCAACGATCCCACAGAAATACAAACTACCATCAGAGAATACTACAAACACCTCTATGCAAATAAACTAGAAAATCTAGAAGAAATGGATAAATTCCTTGACACATACACTCTCCCAAGACTAAACCAGGAAGAAGTTGAATCTCTGAATAGACCAATAACAGGATCTGAAATTGTGGCAATAATCAATAGCTTACCAACCAAAAAGAGTCCAGGACCAGATGGATTCACAGCCGAATTCTACCAGAGGTACAAGGAGGAACTGGTACCATTCCTTCTGAAACTATTCCAATCAATAGAAAAAGAAGGAATCCTCCCTAACTCTTTTTATGAGGCCAGCATCATTCTGATACCAAAGCCTGGCAGAGACACAACCAAAAAAGAGAATTTTAGACCAATATCCTTGATGAACATTGATGCAAAAATCCTCAATAAAATACTGGCAAACCAAATCCAGCAGCACATCAAAAAGCTTATCCACCATGATCAAGTCGACTTCATCCCTGGGATGCAAGGCTGGTTCAATATACGCAAATCAATAAATGTAATCCAGCATATAAACAGAGCCAAAGACAAAAACCACATGATTATCTCAATAGATGCAGAAAAGGCCTTTGACAAAATTCAACAACCTTTCATGCTAAAAACTCTCAATAAATTAGGTATTGATGGGACATATTTCAAAATAATAAGAGCTATCTATGACAAACCCACAGCCAATATCATACTGAATGGGCAAAAACTGGAAGCATTCCCTTTGAAAACTGGCACAAGACAGGGATGCCCTCTCTCACCACTCCTATTCAACATAGTGTTGGAAGTTCTGGCCAGGGCAATCAGGCAGGAGAAGGAAATAAAGGGTATTCAATTAGGAAAAGAGGAAGTCAAATTGTCCCTGTTTGCAGATGACATGATTGTATATCTAGAAAACCCCATTGTCTCAGCCCAAAATCTCTTTAAGCTGATAAGCAACTTCAGCAAAGTCTCAGGATACAAAATCAATGTGCAAAAATCACAAGCATTCCTATACACCAACAACAGACAAACAGAGAGCCAAATCATGAGTGAACTCCCATTCACAATTGCTTCAAAGAGAATAAAATACCTAGGAATCCAACTTACAAGGGATGTGAAGGACCTCTTCAAGGAGAACTACAAACCGCTGCTCAAGGAAATAAAAGAGGATACAAACAAATGGAAGAACATTCCATGCTCATGGTAGGAAGAATCAATATCGTGAAAATAGCCATACTGCCCAAGGTAATTTACAGATTCAATGCCATCCCCATCAAGCTACCAATGCCTTTCTTCACAGAATTGGAAAAAACTACTTTCAAGTTCATATGGAACCAAAAAAGAGCCCGCATCACCAAGGCAATCCTAAGCCAAAAGAACAAAGCTGGAGGCATCACACTACCTGACTTCAAACTATACTACAAGGCTACAGTAACCAAAACAGCATGGTACTGGTACCAAAACAGAGATATAGATCAATGGAACAGAACAGAGCCCTCAGAAATAACGCCACATATCTACAACTATCTGATCTTTGACAAACCTGAGAAAAACAAGCAATGGGGAAAGGATTCCCTATTTAATAAATGGTGCTGGGAAAACTGGCTAGCCATATGTAGAAAGCTGAAACTGGATCCCTTCCTTACACCTTATACAAAAATCAATTCAAGATGGATTAAAGACTTAAACGTTAGACCTAAAACCATAAAAACCCTAGAAGAAAACCTAGGCATTACCATTCAGGACATAGGCATGGGCAAGGACTTCATGTCTAAAACACCAAAAGCAAGGCAACAAAAGACAAAATTGACAAATGGGATCTAATTAAACTAAAGAGCTTCTGCACAGCAAAAGAAACTACCATCAGAGTGAACAGGCAACCTACAAAATGGGAGAAAATTTTCGCAACCTACTCATCTGACAAAGGGCTAATATCCAGAATCTACAATGAACTCAAACAAATTTACAAGAAAAAAACAAACAACCCCATCAAAAAGTGGGCAAAGGACTTGAACAGACCCTTCTCAAAAGAAGACATTTATGCAGCCAAAAAACACATGAAAAAATGCTCACCATCACTGGCCATCAGAGAAATGCAAATCAAAACCACTATGAGATACCATCTCACACCAGTTAGAATGGCAATCATTAAAAAGTCAGGAAACAACAGGTGCTGGAGAGGATGTGGAGAAATAGGAACACTTTTACGCTGTTGGTGGGACTGTAAACTAGTTCAACCATTGTGGAAGTCAGTGTGGCAATTCCTCAGGGATCTAGAACTAGAAATACCATTTGACCCAGCAATCCCATTACTGGGTATATACCCAAAGGACTATAAATCATGCTGCTATAAAGACACATGCACACGTATGTTTATTGCGGCATTATTCACAATAGCAAAGACTTGGAACCAACCCAAATGTCCAACAATGATAGATTGGATTAAGAAAATGTGGCACATATACACCATGGAATACTATGCAGCCATAAAAAATGATGAGTTCATGTCCTTTGTGGGGACATGTATGAAATTGGAAACCATCATTCTCAGTAAACTATCACAAGAACAAAAAACCAAACACCACATATTCTCACTCATAGGTGGGAATTGAACAATGAGATCACATGGACACAGGAAGGGGAACATCACACTCTGGGGACTGTTGTGGGGTGGGGGGAGTGGGGAGGGATAGCATTGGGAGATATACCTAATGCTAGATGATGAGTTAGTGGGTGCAGCACACCAGCATGGCACATGTATACGTATGTAACTAACCTGCACAATGTGCACATGTACCCTAAAACTTAAAGTATAATAATAAAAAAAATTAAGAGAAAAAAAGAAAAAAAATGATATTCATTAATTTTTGATTTCTCAAGCAGACTTCGCAACTGGAGGAAGAATAAAATGACTAGACTAGGAGAATATGCAAACTATTAAGCTAGATTTCCCTTTGTAAATTAAAAAATTAGTACTTTAGTTTATCAATCCATTCTTTGTGGTGTTGGTTTCATGAATCATTTCAAAAACAATGGATCACTCCTGCTAGCTCTAGTCATTTTGTTATTCTCATAGGAAAAAAATTAAATATGAAAATGAATAGAAAAGATATATATAGAAGCCCAAGAAAAAAATGAGCTGACCTCACATGCACGACAGGAAGGGCCACATAAATGGACAATATACAGAGATTTAATTTACAAAACAAAATATAAAATCTGCCTCTCAGTGGTATGATTCTCAAAAGTTCTAACTTTTATACTCAGCATCATGTTTTAGCAACTATATCTTACAAAGTCTGACCGACTTAATCATATCAACTTTAATTTATGAGTCAATGAAGTATATTTCAGGAGGAAACATCAAATGATATTAAAATATTGATGGTTCATCTGCTCCTTTCCCTTATTATTTAGTTTTTCTTTCTTTTTTTAGCTAAACTAATGTAAAATTATATCTAATGACAGCAAGCTTTCCTTTCTTTCGACATAGTGAAAACTTGTATAATTATGAAATTTTTAAAAGGTTAAAGCCTTTGTTATTTATTTTAATTCAAATCCAGTATATTATTATACATATTCGGAGCCCAAACTATTCATCTTCATCTAAACCTTCAATTAAATTCCACAATGCAAACCTCTTGGCTCTAGAATCACGTTTCTTGTTTATTCAACTGAGCCTGTGTCTTGAAAAAGTGTTGAAGTTTGGGGGTTTTCTGGTGAGAATCCACGTTCTGACATCACCTTGGTCGTGACAGTGATTGGCTGTTGGAAGGCAAAGAAGAGTTTATAGCCAGCAAGAGCAAGTGAATGAGTGAGTGAGAGGGCAGAGGAAATACTCAATCTGTGCCACTCACTGCCTTGAGCCTGCTTCCTCACTCCAGGACTGCCAGAGGGTAAGATTTAATAGAACAACTTCATTATCATAAAATTAGACACTCCATAGTTTACATCTCTGAACTTGGCTTTGAATTTTTCATTTAAATGATGTTATTGCATTGTACATGGTTTAATAATTATTTATCATTAAACTGGCACTTCAGATTTTAAATTCTTTCCAAAAGGCTAAACTTATTAACCTAAGCATGTAAATAAGTTCTTAATACTATGCACATAAACTACATTATGCTTCTTACTTTCATTCTCTGCAAATCATAGCTTAACTGTTTGTTTTCTCATTCTGATGCATTCAAGATAACCTGATTGAAATACTATTTTGCATTTGCAAATCTGGCTAGATATATGCATATTTCTCTACAAATTATACCTAGTCTGTACTTCAAGTACATATGTTGTCTTTTCAACATATTAAACATTAGGTTTTGATGTTTCCTATAGCTCTAAAGTCAGAACAGAAAATATATTGTACTAACTAGAGAAATAAATACTCTTGGTAGTTTATCATACCCTTCCCAATAAAACTTGAAATTAAATCCTCAAAATTCTCCTTTAAGAATGTTTGAATTGTTGTCTGGGTTAGTAGTGGTCACTATAGAGGTCTTGGCTTTTTGTTGACTCACAAAGTAAATAAAATTAGATTTATATAGGCAGCCAATCCTGACTACAAGAACTACTTGGTTCTTTGTATTGTTATTATTATTATTTATGCCATCTTTTCATCTGGTTATTTTTATTGTTATGAGAAATTTGTGTAATCAAAACTATTTCTATAATTCTATGTATCTAAGCTTTTAGCTCTTTAAAATATTATAAATATTCCGACCCTTCTCACAAAGTGGCAAAGCAATAATCTTTCTGTTTTGCTGATGGGCTTGGTCACGGCTGGCAAAGTTCAAAGCATTATTTAGACCACCCCGATAGAAATCAGTGCTGCTTAAAAAGATGGGCTCCTTCAGGAGCAAAGCCTGTTTATTCCCAAGGGGCCATCAAGACCTTTTACTAAGATAGGACTGTGAGAAACTGTCTGGGCACCAAAACCCAAAGACTCACTCTGACACACAAAAAGAGTGTGACTTAGGACCCAAGACAGTATCTCCAGGACTTAGTGTCAGATACTCAGTAAGGATGCAATAAATCTTGGCTGATGATGACACAATACACAATTTACCAGCAGGTTTCAATATATGACATTGGTTTGCACATTTTAAGTATTATTTTCAAAATGTATTCATGGGAAATTGCCATCACCACTACATTTTGCTTCCAAAATATTGCCAAAGCTGTGACTGTGTATGAGAAGGTGCTAACAGTTAAATGTGTATGTAAATGTAAATGGCTGAGTGTTAGTAGGCTTTCAGCTAAGCTTGCCCAACTTCTATTATGATATAATTTTAAATACAATTTTATTAAATAGAATAAAATTAAGATAGGATAGCATTTCACTATCTCCTTTTACTCATGAGGAATTTATGTGGAACTGAGGCTCTTTTTATGGCTGCAATCCCCAAGATTATTCAGGCCCTATTCCCACTTTGAGAGCTGCATCTTCGATTGTTCCATAGAATTGAAATTTTCATCCATGTCTGTCACCCTAACCCTGGAGAGCCCCTAATCCATCCCAGTACAGTCTCATACACTAGCAGATGGAAAGCTTAAATGGAGCTGGAGAGCAAATTAATTTGAGGAAATCTGCCCCCGATATCTCAAGGCGAAACTCTGAAGAACTCCTCATGGAAGCATCCTTAGCGGAGTTGCTGTTGCGTGCTACATGATGTCAGTGTGATATTTCATATATTATGGATCCTCTCTGTCTCTCTGTCTCTGTCTCTCATCCACCCACCCATACACACACACACACACACACACACACACACACACGCATATACACACACACACACACCAATTATTCCAAGATGTTCAGAGGAAAATTGCTCCTACTTTCCATTTTACAAATAAATTTTTAGCCCAAAACCTATATAGAAGCTGGAAACCGCCTATAGGGTATCAGTGATTTTTGCTTTTTTGTTTTATTTTTGAGACAGGATCTCACTCTGTTGCCCAGGGTGGAGTACAGTGGTATGAACACGGCTCACTGCAACCTTGGCCTCCCAGGCTCAGCCTCTCGAGTAACTAGGCCTACTGGTGTGCACCACCATGCCAAGCTAATTTCTGCACTGTTTGTAGAGGACAAGTTTCACCATGTTGCCCAGGCTCATCTCAAACTCTTGGACTCAAGCGATCTGCCCACCTTGGCCTCCCAAAGTACTGGTTTTAGAGGCATGAGCCACCATACCTGGTCGAGTTTTTAATTGTAAACAAACAAACAGGGCACACAACTACACTAACAATTCAATTCACTTAGCTGACACTCCATGTCAATATTAAGAGGGCCATTACGCCAGTGTGAAGTACCCTAAGTAGTCAAAATCTCTTGCAGTAATGAAAAGGTCTTCCATTGAGAAATCACAAAAAATAGGTTAAAACCAAGTATGGAACTCAAGATTATTTAAACGGATGGGTTAAGTCAGTCTTATATTACTTAAATGGAAGGAATAATTTGAAAATAAAAGGAATAATTTAGTTTTAATTAGTCAAAGTGATAATTACACAGAAATGAAAACAAATTAAATACTTCATCTTTGAATATGAGTAAAAAAGTTATGCTCTTAGTTTTAATATTTTATTAACCTTACCACTTCATTAATTCCAGAAGCAATCACCAAAATGAAGACTGCTTTAATTTTGCTCAGCATTTTGGGAATGGCCTGTGCTTTCTCAGTAAGTTCTTTATCAAAACCCACAGTTATTTTCAGTTTTGTCTTTTTATGTAAAAGAAAAATTATGCAATAATTAAATGTTCTTTAAAACAGATGAAAAATTTGCATCGAAGAGTCAAAATAGAGGATTCTGAAGAAAATGGGGTAATTAATTTTAGCATACTTCCTTGGCCTGATTATACTTGCTGTATATTTATTGCATATTAAACATGAATATATCATTTATTTTGTTTTTGCAGGTCTTTAAGTACAGGCCACGATATTATCTTTACAAGCATGCCTACTTTTATCCTCATTTAAAACGATTTCCAGTTCAGGTAAATATAGAAATTCATTTTTCTTCAGTTTAATTTCTATTATAATTTAAAGGAGATCAAATTTTAACTATAAAACACCTAAATTCAACTCTCACTGAAATTCAGTCAAAAAGACTGCTTACTATAAGAAGTTTGTTTTTAGGGAAATAAGGTTTATTTCTAAGTTCTCTTTTAAGGCAGACATATACACAGAGTAAAATCATTTGGATCATTTGGGTACAGTCTAGAATGATATAATAAAAACAAACACTGTAGCACATTGAGCTCTGGTATTTTTGCTAACTCACAGACAAAAGTGGACAGTTTTATCAGTTGTTGACCAATTCCATCAGTGATAAGGTCACTGGCTGTCCTATTACAGCTGATTCAATACTGTCAGATAGCTGTTTACATGTGGCACTGCAGAGTCCTTTAATTGGTAGGGGAAAATTTGACTTCATAAACATCAGAGGCCATTGTTTTTAAAAAACCTTGATAATCAATGGTAATTTCTGAAGATTTTCTGCACCTTAACCTGTGTGGGTCACTAGAGCAATATGTCATACACTGGAGCATAATCATAATGGTAAAACTGCAGAGGAAAAAGAGAAATTCATGACGTGCACCAAAAAAGCTTGTGAGAAAAACAAACCATCCCTTAAATTTGTAAACAAAAAGGAAAATAACTAAAAAAAAAATAAGAGTTTCCAATTTTGCCGGGTTACCTGTGAAGAGTGCCTTTGAAAACCAGAGGGTGTGGTGTTGATTTTAAATATACAACAAACCAGGATTGCACTATTTTTAGTACCATACAGTTTGGGTTCAGGACACCAATTATGCACCACTTGACCCAGGACTTTTGAGACACTAAAAGCAGTCAGGATGCTGAAAACGATGCCTCAGCACAGTGGCTTGGCATTGCATCTTACCATATGTTGGGCTAATCCATCTCTAACCCCTACAATGATAGGAAATGATCATTTTAAAGTATTTCTAGCACCAGCATAATTATGGGGAATTTGTGTGGCCACAAAAATATGAGCATGAATGAAACAAGAGTTGTGGGTTTTCAGAATTGTATTCCCTTCTTTGGTTCACCTCAGATCCATAAATAAACAGTGCTCATTTGAAAGTTTGCTTTGTTCTCTTTTTTAAACTAAATGGAAATGATAATAAATTCAAGTCTCTGACTAGCTCCTAAACTTTTCTGAAATATTAGGTACATAGAGATATTCATTCCCATCTGGATATTTTTATAGATATGTATGTATGGGCCCATTAAAATGTCCATAGTGAAGCAATATTAGGAGGCATTACATTTCTCAATATTGATAGACCTGAGGTTTGTAGATCAAGGAGATCTTTAATATACAAGTTTTTTCACAAATTATATGCAGATAGGCCCATCTCAACTAATGTAGAACTTGTAAGATAATTGTTTTTAAATAAAATTATATACAATATATCTCCCAATCCTACTGTCTGACCTAGTATTCATGACCCATTCTTCTACTTTACAAAATTTGATTTTCTTTAAGTGTATTGTTAGGTGTTTAGTGCCCATGTTGTCACCCCAAAACACATTAATCTGTATTGGCTTTGAAATTCATGTTTCCATCAAACAAATCTGCATTTATATACAATCATTTCTAAATTACCAAGTTACAATGACATATGTTATTTGGATTGCAAAGTGATCAGCAAGCTATCTATTGTGGCTTATATATCTGCTAGACTATAGAAATGAAAGTTTAAGTAAACTTAACATCCTAAGCTTCTTTATTGAGAAAATTGTCATTTTGTGATTCAAATGATATTTTATTAGTTGAACTCATAGAAGGTAAGAATTTAATCTTATATTTCCTTTATCGGACTCATCTCAGCTATGACAAGAGTTGTGGGTTTTCAGAATTGTCTTCAATTTCAGAACTCTTTCATCTATCTGTGTAGACAAATGAAAGACTTCTTGGAGAATCAATTGGACTTAGCAACAAATTGGTAATAATGCATAAATGAAAGATAGGAAAATGCCAAAGCTTCAAGGCATTTCATACAGCTTTTAAAGTGTTCTCACTGCAGACACTAATCGAAGAGTGATGTGGTTGAGCTAGGGAGAAAGCCAGAGGTGAAGGAGCATGTGAAGTGATTGAAATACCCCCACTGAGAGAAACAGTTCTGATTGCATAAATATACTGTCCTCTATAATTAAGTTAACTAACAAATAGAAATCGTCCAAATATAATACTCTATTCACCCTCTGGGCTAGGGAAGGCACAACCATTAAGGTCATGGCAGTGGAAGAACAGGTTTAATTATTCTCTTTTCCACCTGAGGTTATTCCTGGCTCGAGGTGACAAGCATTCCCTTTCCTTGGGTGGATGATGTGGCCATCTGAAGAATGAGCCAGCAGGGACAGTCCCACAGGACCTGGACATGAATGTTGTCTCACATTTGATTTCTAACCCAGAAGTTAGAGATCCTTCTGCAGCTATATTTTCTAAATGCAAGACATTAACTGGGTCATCAGAATCAAAGCTAAATATTGCAGGGAAGGAAATGACAGAATCTTAGATTGGAATTTACATTTCCTTTCAAAAAGTAGCAAAACTCTTTAGCTTATAATTATATTTTTATATACAAAATCTTAATTTATTCTCATTCAACACTGAACTTGTTAGAGGGATATTACTCTACACAACCTCCCAAATAATTAAATGAATAAGTCATAAGATTTTTACTTCACATGTATAAATTAACCTCATTTTAGGAACTGGCTTTAATCAAATTTAAAGATACTAAAAATTATATGCAAATTAAATGCTATTAAATTAAGTGCTAATTTAAATTCAACAGGAGAGCTCACTATGTAAGAGAATCATCTATAACAACTTTTATAGTAAGCTGAATGATTTCTTTCATGTTTTCTAAATAAAATTTTAAAATGTGAACTATATCTTAGCCCAAGGTCTGCCTTGAACCTGCTGGAGAAGTCACAACTTTTTTAGGCCGCTGATTCATTCTCCATAAAATTTAAAAATTGGACCAGTTAATTCACTTGTTCTCTCAAAGTTAAACAATTCTGTGATTCATTGCCCTAGTTTTTACATACAAAATGTTTCAATATATTGTCAATGCTTTGGAAGTTGACAAATGGGACATCCAATTCATATCTTGATCATAGTAAAATGCCTATTTTTCTCTAACTTCATTTTGCATGTCTAATCTCCTATCTTTCTCACATCAGTATGCAATCTGTTCTTAGTAAACAAGTCAGTCAAGATGGTAATACTAATTAGATTGAGTAAATATTTGTGTGTATTTTATTGTGATTCAATTAGCAGGAAATTTAAATTGCTGTTGAATATATTTGTACACAGATAAGAGTATACATACATGTGTATATATTTTTAGGGCAGTAGTGACTCATCCGAAGAAAATGGAGATGACAGTTCAGAAGAGGAGGAGGAAGAAGAGGTAAGGAATTTTGCAATCTTTTCGTAATAAAGCAGACAGCACAAGAAACAAATAGGAAACTAGTCTATTGCATTCTGGACTCAGCAAATAGCCATTGTCACTTTACTAACTGCCCATAATATCCTATTTTGGATAAGCAGAATTTTATTTAAATTAGGATCCACTAACATGACCTGTTTAAAACACTATTGCAGTTTGGGGTTGAAATTACTTACAAATGGTGCTCAAAACCAAAAATCTCTCCCTTTTAAGTAGAAGTAGTATAAAATCTGATAAAAAGCAACAGAAGTAGTATAAAATCTGATAAAAAGTAACAGATAGCATTACTTCTATTTAGGTGGATAGAACATGATGTTAGAAGACAAGTGAATAGTAATCCTAAACTCAGTGCAAGACTTGTTTTAAGGACTGAACTTTACAATTTAATTTACCAAGAGGGTAATATGTAAAAACCCGTATATCTCCTCTACAATATTATTGTGATTCATCAGCCTTTCATAACCCACAAAGTAGGGTTATTCTTTTTAAAAAAATTTCAGGCTTGTTGTGGTGGCTCATGCCTGTAATTCCAACACTCTGAGAGGCCAAGGCGGCCAGATCACTTGAGGTCAGGAGTTTGAGACCAGCCTAGCCAACATGGTGAAACCCTGTCTCTACTAAACATACAAAAATTAGCCAGGTGTGGTGGCATACACCTGTAATTCCTGTCACTCGGGAAGCTGAGACATGAGAATCACTTGAACCCGGAAGGTGGAGGTTGCAGTGAGCCAAGATCCTGTCACTGCACTCCAGTCTGCGCAACAGAGCAAGACTCTGTCACAGAAAAAAAAAACAAAAACAACAAAAAAAAATCATACGTCTTTTTGGGTAGTAATAAAATTCATAGGTATATAAATATCTTCCCATATAGTTTTACAGATTAGTGTAGTCCTGGGCTAAGAATCATCTACATGTCTTGGAAATTGTGCTACCATGTTTATAACTGATACTCTTGCCTAAGGAAACATACCAATTAGGATGCATCTTTCCCGCATAGTCAATTATAGCTACCACTGGTTTAGGAACCTTTTAAATTCAGCTTTTCTCAGGTGCTATTTATGAATGGACAATGATATTCAAAAATGGATCATGTATTAACAGCTGTCTTGAAAACAAAATGGTGTGGGAACTTGAAAGGTGACGAATCATTAGTTTGGTATATTTTTAACTATAAAAGTAACATTTCCCGTATCATAATTTATACTAACATCTTGAAGGAAGGCCTTACAAGAATGTTAAGCCAGTACCAGGAAAAATGCCACCCACTAAATCCCACAACATTTCTGCTGGAGTTCCACATAGCAATCTTACACAAGAACTAGGCTAAGGTTATCCATTTAGTTATAGCTATTTGCTGTACAGTGATTGTAAAATTGCCTTGTCAACTACATTTCCCAACTAGATTGCATAACTTTTGGGAGTGGCTCTTCGTTTGTTGTTGTGGTGGTTGAGGACTGAGGAAGACTAGGACTTCTTTGGGGACTCTGATGAAATCAAGTACACACAAAATTTTGCCAAGGATCTCTGAACATTTAAGGTCTTCCCAGAACGTGTCTGCAGACACCTCATGACCATAGGTTAAAATCCCTGCTTTGGGGAAGAGCCATGCTACTCAGTTTTATATCTCTTCATGCTGCCTAGCATAATTTCTTATACATATATGGTGCCCAGTACATATCTGGTGGTTTGGTTTTGAAACTTCAGAGGAATAAATGCAACAAACTTCATTCATTAAAAGTAGTAATGGAAAAGCGGGTAAACAAAACCAGAAGTCTTTCATCCTGAAGAGATTCTGAAACATCTTTTTTCCTCATTCTCTAAAATGTTATTAGCAATTTAGGTTAAATATAGAGTCCCCAGGGATTGTATTTGTATGAGGAGAATACTTAGGCATATTTTCTATTTGGTGATCACACATTTCCTTTTTCCACTCCTAAACTATTTAGTCTCATAAAATAAACTTTTTTTTTTTTTTTGAGACGGAGTCTCGCTCTGTTTCCCAGGCTGGAGTTCAGTGGCTTAATCTCAGCTCACTACAAGCTGCACCTCCCAGGTTCACGCCATTCTCCTGCCTCAGCCTCCCAAGTAGCTGGGACTACAGGCACCGGCCACCATGCCTGGCTAATTTTTTGTATTTTTAGTAGAGATGGGGTTTCACCATGTTAGCCAGGATGGTCTTGATCTCCTGACCTCGTGATCCGCCCGCCTCGGCCTCCCAAAGTGCTGGGATTACAGGAGTGAGCCACCGCGCCCAGACATAAAAGAAACTTTTATTGAAATATACATAATAAAATTATCCTAATTATACATCTCATTGAAATTTCAGAAATTGAACACGTAAGTGAAACTAGCACTCATATCAAAAAGCAGTGCGTGCCTTGTGTTCCATTCCACTCATTAACAAACCCCTACCAAAGGCAAGCAGTATTTTGACTCTTAATAGATTGACTTTGGCCTGTTTTTGTATATTATGAATGTAGGATCATACATGATTTACTCTTTGTGTGTCACTTCTTCACTCTCAAATTTAGAGATTCATCCATGTTGTTCTGTAGTTGTAGATCATTTATTCTCATTGTTAGTATTTCATTACGTGAATGTACCAAAATGTGTTATTCTTCTGTTGATGGGCACTTAAGTAGTTTCCAAGTTTGGGTGATTACAAAGTGCTGCTATGAACTTTCTAGAACTTATTCTGGTGAACATATACATATTCATTTCTCGAGGCCATTTCACCTAAAAGTGAAATTTCGGAGTCGAAATCTACTGAGGCATATATATTCAACCTTAGTAGATGGCAACCAGCTTTCCAAAACAGACGTACTCAGGTAAACTCTCACCATCCGTGTATGAGGGTTCCGGTTGCTCCACATTCTCACCAACACTTGCTTCTTTCAGTCTTGTTAGCCAATCTAGTGAGTTGATAATATCTTTGTAAGCGCAAATTAGTGCTATTTTTCTATCCAATAAAATTTGTGAAGCCTCATACCCATCAACAGTAACCTATTTTCCTATGTAACTCATGTGCAGCGGAACATCCTTAAATAAAGTATCTGGGAAAAGAAAAGGTGTAAGAGAAAATATAAAAGTTGGGATATTGGGCCTTTAGTTGTGACCCTACCACCAATAAACTGCTATCTATTTGACCTCATATGAGTCATATAAGCCAATCAGATTTTTCAACTGCAAATAGTATATTCTTCTACTCTGGGGATCTTTCTAAGGATGGTAGAATAAATTTCTCCTTCTACCTCTGAAACATCTGTTGGAATAAAGCATAAACATAAAACAATAAACAAACACATGGTGTTTTGGGGATATTTGACACAATTAGCTTGGAGACTGTTTGGGGTATACTCTGGTGGTATTGCAACCCTTCACTGAAATAGTGAAATTTACAAATTTGATGAAACAAACATGTGGTGCTTTAGTCACTTTGTTTTAATAATAGGCTAAATATTTGTTTGTTTGTTTTAAACTTTAAAAGTTATCACAATCTCTTAAAATGTATTGAAGTGAATTCAATTTTCCAGTATTTGTTTAAAATAAATAAATTGTATATATAGGAAACCTTGACTTTTTATATTAGCTACAAATTACACTGAGATCAACTCAATTAAAAAACAATTGCCTCACGATATGATATAAAGGCTAAAAGATTAAATATTAAAGATTATAATAGACATTCATTTGAAGAGTATTAATTTTTTAAAACACCTTCATGCAGACTGGGCGCGGTGGCTCATGCCTGTAATCCCAGCACTTTGGGAGGTTGAGGCGGGCAGATCACAACGTCAAGATCACATCCTGGCCAACACGGTGAAACGCCGTTTCTACTAAAAATACAAAAATTAGCTGGGTGTGGTGGCATGTGCCTGTAGTCTCAGTTGCTGGGGAGGCTGAGACAGGAGAATCGCTTGAACCCAGGAGGCAGAGGTTGCAGTGAGCCAAGATCACACCACTGCACTCCAGCCTGGCAACAGAGCATGACTCTGCAAAAACAAAACAAAACAAAAACAAAAAACCTTCATGCAATAATATATCACTAAGAATTTCTTAGAGTGTTTAGTTTCTTCTTTGTGCAGAAAAAAAATGATGTGTCAAATGCCTGAAACACAAGTATTTTTTAATTGATAAAATACAAAGCAGAAATATCTAAAACATATAGTGTGGAGTAAGGAGGATTCAATAACTTGGAGTTGAGCTCTTGGAAGTGAGAAGTGCAAATGGCATAGGGGAAGGCAGGCTTTGAGTGATCAGCCAGCTGAGGGATGCAAAGTTTTTCCAAATAATAAACCTTCAATAAATGATTCACAGCTCCAGTAAATCTTGAACTATCTTCCAGGTAAAATAATTTTTCTTACTATGAATATTTTTAACAGGAGACTTCAAATGAAGGAGAAAACAATGAAGAATCGAATGAAGATGAAGACTCTGAGGCTGAGAATACCACACTTTCTGCTACAACACTGGGCTATGGAGAGGACGCCACGCCTGGCACAGGGTATACAGGGTTAGCTGCAATCCAGCTTCCCAAGAAGGTAACAATGGAATTATTCCTCCAAAATGAAATTATTACCATTAATAATAATGGTAATGTTCAATCTTTTTTAAACTTTTTAACTGGAGTCTAAGGGTATCCTAACACTACACACATAGTATTTTATACTATCTTCATTAACTCGCTGAAGTGAGAGCAGATACAATTTTCCTATTTACAAATAAGAAAATATCTTCTCCCAGGCAAGTTCTCCTACCATGTTATTACACTGACTTTTACATTATAACAGAAGACTAAGAACACACCACTAGGCATGGATAAAAGGTCCTGAGAGATACCATGACATTCCAGGGAAGAGAATTCCAAGACAGAGAAAGTGAGTAGCAAAACGATAGGAAGACTCTCCCCCAGGAAAGGCATTATCTTTAAATAATGGCACACTTTCCCCATCAAAACCCATGACAAAGGGGTTTATCCTGAAGTTTTAAAGCCCCCAATCATTTTGTAAATTAAAGTGGCCTTAATTCAAATAAGACGCCTAGAATAAGGCTGTCAGTATTGTGTTGCATGAAATGACGGCCTTAAATTTTACATTTTTCACAGCTAGATTTGGGTTCTTTCAAACGTTTCCTTACAGGCTGGGGATATAACAAATAAAGCTACAAAAGAGAAGGAAAGTGATGAAGAAGAAGAGGAGGAAGAGGAAGGAAATGAAAACGAAGAAAGCGAAGCAGAAGTGGATGAAAACGAACAAGGCATAAACGGCACCAGTACCAACAGCACAGAGGCAGAAAACGGCAACGGCAGCAGCGGAGGAGACAATGGAGAAGAAGGGGAAGAAGAAAGTGTCACTGGAGCCAATGCAGAAGACACCACAGAGACCGGAAGGCAGGGCAAGGGCACCTCGAAGACAACAACCTCTCCAAATGGTGGGTTTGAACCTACAACCCCACCACAAGTCTATAGAACCACTTCCCCACCTTTTGGGAAAACCACCACCGTTGAATACGAGGGGGAGTACGAATACACGGGCGCCAATGAATACGACAATGGATATGAAATCTATGAAAGTGAGAACGGGGAACCTCGTGGGGACAATTACCGAGCCTATGAAGATGAGTACAGCTACTTTAAAGGACAAGGCTACGATGGCTATGATGGTCAGAATTACTACCACCACCAGTGAAGCTCCAGCCTGGGATGAATTCATCCATTCTGGCTTTGCATCCGGCTACCATTTTCGAAGTTCAACTCAGGAAGGTGCAATATAACAAATGTGCATATTATAATGAGGAATGGTACTACCGTTCCAGATTTTCTGTAATTGCTTCTGCAAAGTAATAGGCTTCTTGTCCCTTTTTTTTCTGGCATGTTATGGAATGATCATTGTAAATCAGGACCATTTATCAAGCAGTACACCAACTCATAAGATCAAATTTCATTGAATGGTTTGAGGTTGTAGCTCTATAAATAGTAGTTTTTAACATGCCTGTAGTATTGCTAACTGCAAAAACATACTCTTTGTACAAGAAGTGCTTCTAAGAATTTCATTGACATTAATGACACTGTATACAATAAATGTGTAGTTTCTTAATCGCACTACCTATGCAACACTGTGTATTAGGTTTATCATCCTCATGTATTTTTATGTGACCTGTATGTATATTCTAATCTACGAGTTTTATCACAAATAAAAATGCAATCCTTCAAATGTGTTATAATTAAGAAGAGAAGTGAGAGATTCATAATGGAAAAGGTGAAACAAATGGAAGACAATTTCACTAAAGGAGAAAAGCTTATTTCCACTATAGTTTAAAACTAAGAGGCACTGTAAACATTTTCTTTTGGCTAAATCAACATAACTAAGACTTTGCCATGCTTGTGGGCAGGGTTAGCCATACACGTCAGGGGAATGAATGGCTCTTACTAGAGTTACCAGATATAACAAATATATAGGATGCCTATTAAATTTGAATTTCAGATAAACAATGAATAATTTTTAGTATAAGTATACCCCATGCAATATTTGGCCTTTGTGAAATATTTTGGACATACTTATACTAAATAAATGATTCACTACCTATCTAATACTCAACTTTATTATATATTTATGTTTTGAGACAGAGTCTCACTCTATCACCCAGGCTGGAGTGCAGTGGCACCATCTCGGCTCACTACAACCTCTGCCTCCTGGGTTCAAGCCATTCTCCTACCTAAGCCTCCCGAGTACCTAGGATTACAGGCACACACCACCACACCTGGCTAAATTTTTGTATTTTGAGTAGAGACAGGGTTTCACCATGTTGGCCAGGCGGCTGGTCTTGAACTCCTGACCTCAAGTAATCCATCCACCTCGGCCTCCCAAAGTGCTAGGATTACAGGTGTGAGGCACCACTCCCGGCCCTGATACTCAACTTTAACTGAGTGCTTCGTTTATCTGGCAATCCTACTTCTACTTGGCTTAATTTTAGCTGGACAAGGGGTGGAATGAGGTAGAAAAAAACTCTTACACAACACATACGCACAAAGGAGGGCTGATATACAAAGACTTAACAGCAAGTCACACCTTAATATAAACCTGAAAGCCATTTAAAATGGGAGTAAAGAAGGAAAGTAGATAGAAAGAGCAAAAAGAACAAAAATGCATTCATCTTTTAATTTATTAATTGATAAGATGTACTGAACATCTACAGAGCCAGACAATGTTCACACATTGAGCATATGAAAATGAAGAATACTGTGTTTGGGGTAATTTTAGTCTGTTAGTTACCAGTTATGAGACTGTCCATGCATCATAACATTCATTTTTTCAAACTTTTTGTCTTATTATATCTTTATTCCAAAATTCGTTTCTCAAATATTCAAACCACAAATTTAAAAAATTTGGTTTTAAATAAATATATATTTTTTCCCATAAGTTATTAGGGTACAGGTGGTATTCGGTTACATGAGTAAGTTCTTTAGTGGTGATTTGTGAGATTTTGGTGTACCCATCACCCGAGCACTATACACTGCACCTCGTTTGTAGTCTTTCCCTCACCCCTTCTCACTCTTCCCCCCAAGTCCCCAAAGTCCACTGTATCATTCTTATGCCTTTGCATCCTCATAGCTTAGCTCCCACATATCAGTGAGAACATACGATATTTGGTTTTCCAATCCTGAGTTATTCCACTTAGAATAATAGTCTCCAATCTCATCCAGGTCACTGCAAATGCTGTTAATTCATTCCTTTTTATGGCTGCATAGTATTCCATCATATATATATATATATATATATATATATATATATATATATATATATATATATATACCACAGTTTCTTTATCCACTCATTGATTGATGGACACTTGGGTTGGTTCCACGATTTTGCAATTGTGAATTGTGCTGCTATAAATATACATGTGTTCAAATATGCAATAAATATACATGTGTTCAAATAATGACTTCTTTTCCTCTGGGTAGATATCCAGTGGTGGGATTGCTGGATCAAATGGTAGCTCTACTTTCAGTTCTTTAAGGAATCTCTACACTGTTTTCCATAGTGGCTGTAGTAGTTTACATTCCCACCAGCAGTGTAGAAGCATTCCATGTTCACCACATACATGCCAACATCTACTGTTTTTTTTGATTTTTTTGATTTGGGCATTCTTGCAGGAGTAAGGTAGTACAGCATTGCAGTTTTGATTTGCATTTCCCTGATCATTAATGATGTTAAGCATTTTTTCATGGTTTTTAGCCATTTGTACATCTTCTTTTGAGAATTGTCTATTCATATCCTTAGCTCACTTTTTGATGGGATTGTTTTTTTCTTACTGATTTGTTTGAATTCGTTGTAGATTCTGGATATTAGTCCTTTGTCAGATGTATAGATTGTGAAGATTTTCTCCCACTTCATGGCTTATCTGTTTACTCTGCTGACTGTTCTTTTTGTCATGCAAAAGCTCTTTAGTTTAATTAGGTCCCAGCTATTTATCTTTGTTTTTATTGAATTTGCTTTTGGGTTCTTGATCATGAAATCCTTGCCTAAGCCAATGTCTAAAAGAGTTTTTCCAATGTTATCTTCTAGAATTTTTATAGTTTCAGGTCTTAGATTTAAGTCCTTAATCCATCTTGAGTTGATTTTTGTATAAGGTGAGAGATGAGGATCTAGTATCATTCTCCTACATAGGGCTTGCCAATTATCCCAGGACCATTTGTTGAAAAGGGTGCCCTATCCCCACTTTATGTTTTTGTTTTCTTTGTCAAAGATCAATTGGCTGTAAGTATTTGGTTTATTTCTGGGTTCTCTATTCTGTTCTATTGGTCTATGTGCCTATTTTTATATTGGTACCATGCTGTTTTGGTAATTATGGCCTTATAGCATAGTTTGAAATCAGGTAGTGTGATGCTTCCAGATTTGATCTTTTTGCTTAGTCTTGCTTTGACTATGTGAGCTCTTTTTTGGTTCCATATGAATATTAGAATTGTTCTTTCTAATTCTGTGAAGAATGATGGTGGTTTTTTGATGGGGATTGCATTGAATTTGTAGATTGCTTTTGGCAATATGTTCATTTTCACAATATTGATTCTACCCATCCATGAGCATGGGATGTGTCCTATTTATATGTGTCGTCTATGATTTCTTTCAGCAGTGTTCTGTAGTTTTCCTTATAGAGGTCTTTCCACTCCTTTGTTAAGTATATTCCTAAGTTGTTTGTTTTTTTTTTTTTGTTTTTTTTTTTTTTAGCTATTGTGAAAGGGGTTGAGTTCTTGATTTGATTCTCTGCTTGATCACTGTTGGTATATAGAAGAGCTACTGATTTGTGTACATTAATCTTGTAGGCAGAAACTTTGCTGAATTCTTTTATGAGTTCTAGGAGCTTTCTGGAGGGATCCTTAGGGTTTTCAGAGTAAACAATCATACCTCAGCAAACAGTGACAGTTTGACTTTCGCTTTACCAATTTGGATGCCCTTTATTTCTTTCTCCTAGCTCTGACTAGGACTTCCAGTACTATGTTGAAGAGGAGTAGTGAGAGAGCTCATCCTTGTCTTGTTCCAGTTCTCAGAGGGAATGCTTTCAACTTTTCCCCATTCAGTACTGTGTTGGCTGTGGGTTTGTTGTAGATGGCTTTTATAACATTAAGGTATGTCCCTTGTATGCCAATTTTGCTGAGAGTTTTAATCATAAAGGGATGCTGGATTTTTTCAAATGTTTTTTCTGCATCTATTGAAATAATCATGTGATTTTTGTTTTTAATTCTGTTTATGTGGTGTATCACATTTATTGACTTGTGTATGTTAACCACCCCTGCATCCCTGGTATAAAACCCACTTGATCATGATAGATTATCTTTTGGATATATTGTTGGATTCAATTAGCTAGTATTTTGTTAAGGATTTTAGCATCTATGTTCATTAAGGATATCAGTCTGTAGTTTTCTTTTTTGGTTGTGTCCTTTCCTGGTTTTGGTACTAGGGTGGTGCTGGCTTCATAGAATAAATTAAGAAGGGCTCCTTTTTTCTCTGTCTTGTGGAATAGTGTCAAAAGATTGGCACCAATTCTTTGAATGTCTGGTAGAATTCTGCTGTGAATCTGTCTGGTCCTGGACTTTATTTTTGTTGGTAATTTCTTAATTACAATGTCAATCTCGCTGCTTGTTATTGGTTTGTTCAGGGTATCTAATTCTTCCTGATTTAAGCTAGGAGGGTTGTATTTTTCCAAGAATTTATCCGTCTCTTCTAGGTTTTCTAGTTTATGTGTGTAAAGGTGTTGCTAGTAGTCTTGAATGATCTTTTGTATTTCAGTGGTGTCAGTTGTAATTTCTGTTTTGTTTCTTGGTGAGGTTATTTGGATTTTCTCTCTTCTTTTCTTGGTTAATCTTACTAATGGTCTATCAATTTTATTTATCTTTTCAAAGAACCAGCTTTTTGTTTCATTTATCTTTTGTATTTTTTGTTTGTTTGTTTCAATTTCATTTAGTTCTGCTCTGATCTTGGTTATTCTCTTTCTTCTGCTGGGCTTGGGTTTGGTTTGTTCTTGTTTTTCTATGTCCTTGAGGTGTGACCTTGGATTGTCTATTTGTGCTCTTTCAGACTTTTTGATGTAGACATATAGGGCTATGAACTTTCCCCTTAGCAGTGCCTTTGCTGTGTCCCAAAGGTTTTGATAGGTTGTGTCATTATTGTCCTGTTAATAGGTTGTGTCATCCTTGTCTTGTTCCAGTTCTCAGAGGGAATGCTTTAAAATAATTTTTTAATTTCCATCTTGATTTCATTTTTGACCCAATGCTCATTCAGGATCAGATTATTTAATTTCCATGTATTTGCATGGTTTTGAAGGTTCCTTTTGGAGTTGCTTTCCAGTTTTATTCCACTGTGGCCTGAGAGAGTGTTTGATGTAATTTCAATTTTCTTAAATTTATGAGGCTCATTTTATGGCCTATCATATGGTCTATCTTGGAGAAATTTCCATGCACTGTTGAATAGAATGTGTATTCTGTGGCTGTTGGATGAAATGTTTTGTATGTATCTGTTAAGTCCGTTTGTTCCATGGTATAGTTTAAATCCATTGTTTCTTTGTTGACTTTCTGTCTTCATGACCTGTCTAGTGCTGTCAGTGGAGTATTGAAGTCCCCCACTATTATTGTTTTGCTGTCTATCTCATTTCTTTGGTCTATTAGTAATTATTTTATAAATTTGGGAGCTCCAGTGTTAGGTTCATATATGTTTAGGATTGTGATATTTTTCTGTTAGACAAAGCCTTTTACCATTATATTATGTCCCTCTTTGTCTCTTTTAACCACTGTTACATTAAAGTTTGTTTTGTCTAATATAAGAATAGCTACCCCTGCTCACTTTTGGTGTCCATTTGCATGAAATGTCTTTTTCCACCCCTTTACTTTAAGTTTATGTGAGTCCTTATGTGTTAAGTGAGTCTCCTGAAGGTAGCAGATAGTTTGTTGGTGAGTTCTTATCCATTCCGCAGTTCTGTGTCTTTTAAGTGGAGGATTTAGGCCATTTACATTCAATGTTAATATTGAAATGTGAGGTACCATTTCATTCATCATGCTCTTTGTTGCCTGTGTACTTTCGTTTTTGTTTTGTTTTGCTTTTTGCATTTGCTTTTTAACTTGTATTTTTGTTTTATAGATTCTGTGTGATTTATGCTTTAAAGAGGTTCTGTTTTGATGTGTTTCCAGGATTTGTTTCAAGATTTAGAGCTCCTTTTAGCAGTTCTTGTAGTGGTGGCTTGGTAATGGTGAATTCTCCCAGCATTTGTTTGTCTGAAAACAACTGTATCTTTCCTTCATATATGATGCTTAGTTTTGTTGTATACAAAATTCTTGGCTCATAATTGTTTTGTTTGAGGAGGCTGAAGATAGGGCTCCAATCCCTTCTAGCTTGTAGGGTTTCTGCTGATAATTCTGCTGTTAATCTGATAGGTTTTCCTTTATAGGTTACCTGGTGCTTCTGACTCACAGCTCTTAACATTCTTTCCTTCATCTTAACTTTGGATAACCTGATGACAATGTGCTTAGGTGAAGATCTTTTTGCAATGAATTTCCCAGGTGTTCTTTGTGCATCTTGTATTTGCAGCCTAGGTATCTAGCAAGAGTGGGGAAGTTTTCCTGGATTATTCTCCCAGTTATGTCTTCCAAGCTTTTAGGATTTTCTTCTTCCTCAGGAACACCGATTATTCTTAGGTTTGGTCGTTAACATAATCCCAGACTTCTTGGAGTCTTTTTTTATATTTTCTTATGCTTTTTTCTTTGTCTTTGTTGGATTGGGTTGTTTCGAAGACCTTGTCTTTGAGCTCTGAATTTCTTTCTTCTGTTTGTTCAATAATTCTATTGCTGAGACTTTCCAGTGCATTTCACATTTCTAAAAGTGTGTCCAAAGTTTCCTGAATTTTTTTATTGTTTTTTCTTTAAGCTATCTATTTCCTTGAATATTTCTCCCTTCACTTCTTGTATCATTTTTTGGATTTCCTTGCATTGGGCTTCACCATTCTCTGGTCCTCCCCTCCCCTCCAACCCCCCCACCCCACACACACACACACACAATTAGCTTAACTATTAACTAACCTCCTGAATTCGTTTTCAGGTAAATCAGGTATTTCTTCTAGGTTTGGATCCATTGCTGGTGAACTAGTATGATTTTTGGGGGGGTGTTGAAGAGCTTTGTTTTGTCATATTACCAGGGTTGGTTTTCTGGTTCCTTCTCATTTGGGTGGGCTCTGTCACAGGGACAGTCTAGGGCTGAAGACTGTTGTTCAGATTCTTTTGTCTCACAAAGTGTTCCCTCTGTGTAGTACGCTCCCCCTTTTCCTATGGATGTGGCTTCCTGTGAGCCGAACTGCAGTGATTGTTGTCTCTCTTCTGGGTCTAGCTGTCTACCCAGCTCCAAGCTCGTACTGTGGGGTGTCTGCACTGAGCCCTGTGATGTGAACCATCTATGGGTCTCTCAGCCATGGATACCAGTGCCTGTTCCAGTGGAAGTGGCAGAGAGTGCAATGGACTCCATGGGGGTCCTTAGCTTTGGTGGTTTAATGCTCTATTTTTGTGCTGGCTGGCCTCCGGCAGGAGGTGGGACTTTCCAGAAAGCATCAGCTGTAGCGTGGAGAGGGACTGGTGGTGGGCAGGGCCCTAGAACTCCCAAGATTTTATGCCCTTTGTCTTCCACTACCAGGGTGGATAGGGAAGGACTATCAGGTGGGGGTTGGTCTAGGCATGTCTGAGCTCAGATTCTCCTTGGGCTAGTCATGCTGCGGCTGTAGTGGGGGATGGTGGATTATGGCTGCCTTTGCTGAGTCATGCAGGTTGTCAGGGAAGTCGGGGAAAGCCTGCAGTCACAGGCCTCACCCAGCTCCCATGCAAACTGAAGGGCCAGCCTCACGCCCACCGTGTCCCCACCAACATCCCCAAGTCTGTTTCCAGGGAGAGAGTTAGATGGGCTTGAAAACCTGCCCAAGGCTATCCAACTCCCAGATGTGAAAGAAAAGGGCTTTAGTTCTTCCCCAGCCTGTGAAGTTTGCACTCCAGATTCATGCCCTCCCCGGAGTTCTGGCCAGGAGGCTTTCTGCTCCGTTCAAATTGTTATGAAGTTCAGCTAGAGAATTCCTTCTCCCTGTGGAGTTTTACCCCCTGCTCCTCTGGCCACTCTTCTGATGGATCTCTGTGATGCCAGACAACAATAGGCTGCTTGGGGACTCAGTGAACTCCTAGGGCTTTTTTGCTGCTTCCTCTACCCCTGTATTTCACTGGCTCTCTAACTTGACTCAGCTCCTGGTAAAATCGGAAACCTCTCCCACAAACAGAACTTCAGCTTCTCCCGTGGAGGTGTGTGTTTGGGAGAGGAGGGTTTCCCTTTCCCACTTCCACAGTTGGGGCACTCACAGTATTTGAGGTGTCTCCCAGGTCCTGCAGGAGCAGTCCACGTCCTTCAGAGGGTCTGTGGCTCCTGTTGGGATTGTTGGTTTGTTCTTGCAGTCAATCTAGAGCTAAAATTCACAACGCAAGCCTCCACATGCTTCTCTGTCCAGAGCTGCAATCTAGTCCTTCCTCCCAACCCATCCGCCATGATCCTCCGTTTTTGTTTTGTTTTGTTTTGTTTTGTTTTGTTTTGTTTTATGACGGAATCTCGCTGTATCACCTAGGCTGGAGTGCAGTGGTGCAATCTTGGCTCACTGCAACCACCACCTCCCAAGTTCAGGCGATTCTCCTGTCTCAGCCTCCTGAGTAGCTGGAATTATAGGCGCCCACCACTACGCCTGGCTAATTTTTGTATTTTTAGTAGAGGCCAAGTTTTGCCATGTTGGCCAGGCTGTTCTCAAACTCCTGACTTCAGGTGATCCACCAGCCTCAGCCTCCCAAAGTGCTAGGATTACAGGTGTGAGCTACTATGCCTGGCTCAATTTTTCCTAACTTTTTATTTTGAAAAATGTCAGGCCTTCAGAAAGGGAAGACTAGAGCGCCTATTAGACCTTTCACGTAGATTCACTCATTGTTAATATTTTGCCATATTTATGTTTTTTGGGGGTTTTTTTGAGACGGAGTCTCACTCTTGTTGCCAGGCTGGAGTGCAGTGGTGCAGTCTTGGCTCACTGCAAGCTCCGCCTCCTGGGTTCAAGCAATTCTCCTACTTCAGCCTCCCAAGTAGCTAGGATTACAGGCATGTGCCACCACGCCCGGCTAATTTTTGTATTTTTAGTAGAGATGGGGTTTCACCATGTTGGCCAGGCTGGTCTTGAACTCCTGACCTCGTGATCTGCCTGCCTCGGCCTCACAAAGTGCTGGGATTACAGGCATGAGCCACTGTGCCTAGTGCCATATTTATGTTCTTATTTCTGTGTGCCTCTTTATATATATACTTACCTATTAGACTGAGCCCCCATTGCCCACATGGCCATCTGCTTATTGTTAGCTTTCCTCCTCTCCTGCCTCCCTGCCCCACTCTCTAGCGTAGGCTTGCTGAGGTCACTTACCAAGTTAACTAGAGGCACTCAGACCCATGTCTCAGTGTCTGCTTTTGAGAAAGCCTAACCTCAGGTGCTATTTCGTAATTATCCAGTTTTAAAGCTGAAATCCAAGAATTTTTTCTTTTTTTTCCCCAAGAGAAGATGCCATTTTCATCACAACATGTTTACATACTCAAGGTAGGAACTTCAACACTTTGCTCCTTCTGACCATACCCATTTACATAAACAAATGCAGTGCTCCCCTGGCCTGCCGGCAGCTATCCACACCAGAAAGAGGAAAAGGTAGACTGGTAAGACTCAGGCTTTCAAGTTATTTCAAAACCAATAGCAAAGTAAGACCTGAGGTACATATAGTTTGAATTTAGTCTTTTGAATGCCTTTTAAGAGAGTTTTGAAATCAGATTAAGACAAGCAAGTGGGCAAAACATGTATGTGTGCTGTTTTTGGTCATTGTTGCTGCTTTGTGGAAATGAAAAGAAAATCCTGAATGATACTTGTTATTTATCCTAATGTGGCCACCTAGCCTCGTGATGACAGTACCATCTGGCTCCTAGTGAAAGGGACCCTGAGGCCCCGTAAGCCTGCAAGGGTGCTCCATACAAATAGAAGCAGGGGCAACCAGATTTCATAGTCCCGTAAGGATGGCCCAAGAAGAGAAGTTAAAGACCCCTGAGCACCATAAAGCTGCAGGGGAGCCCTCATTCACACAGACAGCAGCTGGGCACCATAATCCCAGCGTGCACACCTCATATATGCAGCACAAGACCACTTACGAAAGCAACCACAAATGGCCAACACAGCCCTTACCTGATGCCTAACCAACTAGCCCACACAGTGCCTGCCAAACCAACACCCAGCACTGTCTTTCTCCAATGTAGGACAAAGACTGTGAGTCTTGGCTTTAAAAAAAAATGTCTCACCCGACTTTCCCGCCAAGTCTTACCTCCCAAAGTCTATCCTCTCTTGGTTGAAATGGATTTCCTTCTTGGCAGTAGAACTTCCACTCAACACTCAGTGCTTAGTCTCAGAGTCTTTTGATTGGCGTATTATTTCATATTTTTAAGCTAGTGGGAAGCCCAATCACCTGACTCATCATGCTTTCCAGGATAACCCATCTAGTTTTGAGTAACTTGGATAATTGGGGTGGGTTTTGTAATCTCCACTTCTACCCAAGTGCAGACTCCCAGGACTTTCCCACTCACAACCCGTCAAGCAATTAAGTGGTCCCCGGGCAGCAGTGTGGTTGGTAACTGGGTTACGAAGCTCCTGAATGCAGCTGCTAGGTTCACACACCACACTTCCACAGATTCAGCCAGTAGGGGGACCATGAAGTCAAATACAGTCAGACATTTTATTACATACACAAAAAACATAAGCATCACCTGTATGGTGTCAGCTCCCTGCATCTCTAATTCCATAGAATGACACTGAACAGAGAGGCCAGATGACAGATGGCACAGGTGGTAGGTCGTTCTGCTACTGAGGAGTCAGCTCTACCCCTTAGCCAAATAGGTATACTCACAAAGAAGTCTGCAGTTGAACCCTAAGGGAGCAAGGTCAAAAGTCCTGTGCTCAACTGAAACTAAAGAGACGAATGAGAAATGGCCTTGTGGTCATCTTCCACAAGGTAGGGAGGTGGGTGGGAACTGCCCATGGCATCTCTTCACCAGCTTGCTTATCCTTTCCTGCTGCAGGAGGAATTGCAGGGTACTTTGCCAAGACTCAGGTTGTACTGCAGTCAATTCTGGTCCCATATGTAATCCATAAAGACATGGTTGGTATGGAGTTGTGCAAGGTTGTCAGGAAGTTGCAGCAGAGCAGCTCCCCTGAATACCTCTTCCAGATCTCAAAGTTTGGGAAGCATTGAGTGTCCTGGACGTTTCAGAAGGAGGCTGGCCACATAGGAGTGTGGACTGGCTAAAAAAAGCTTTTGACGCATCAAAGAGGGTGACTCTTACAAGATAATTCATGGTAGACATGCAGGACCTCGCCAGGCAGTGGTGTGCTCAATGGCTGCTCACCCACTGTGTGGGTGGATGGTCTGTAGGTATCAGCGTGGCCACAGTGTAACTGCTTCTCAAAGATGACTCTGCCCTTTTCCCAGGATCACCCTGTATTTTGTCCTCTCATTTCAAGTCCTTCTTACCTCCTTCAACACGATGACTCAATCAATATCCTCTGCAGCTGGTAGCAGACAGGATAGCAGAGGGGACCCATCTTTAATCTGTGAGGCTCACTAAATATCCCTCTCCTTTTCAGTTTATTATTGTGACATAAATTCTATGCCCTGCATCCTTCATAGTTGGCCATGTTGATTTTCTACCACGCTTTCTTTAACCAAAAAGGTAAAACAAACAATACTTTTGCAAAACTAAAGCTTTAGCTTTCAAAATGATTGTTTCTGATGCGGGCTTCAAGAGTCTATTTCAGCAGTAAGAAAACAAATGTTGACTTTCTTTTCATTTGGATCCTTTCTGTCAAAAACTCCAATCCTTCTCCAGGCAAAGTGGATCTCTTTGAATGATGAGGAGAACAAATAGTGGAAGTGTGAGAAAGGCAGAAAAGCATACACACTTTTTTCCTTTTCTTTTGAAAAGGAAAATCTAAAGTAAAGAAACATGAATCTCGGGTTAAAAAAAAGAATCAACATCAATTGAAAGTAAACCATGAAGCAATGACTTGGACATTTTGTTTATCCATGTACAGTGTAGCAAATATTTTCTGCCCTAGCTCTTTAAAATACTTAGTGGGTTAGAAACTCATTAACTTGATTTGTTGGTTGAAGAATAAAGGTTCTCATGCAAATTACATTCTGTTACATCCTGGTCTTTCTCAGGAGGCTTCTCCCTTGTATCTCATGGTTCCCAGGGTCCAGGAAGATAAGACCACCATTAATATGTACAGAATTCATCTTATCTCTTTTTAAAATATAAATTCTGCCCTCACTATTTTAATAAGGGGTCAGCAAGCTTTCACTAAAAAGCAAAAGTCAGCAAACTTCTTTTTTAAAAGACCAGATAGAAAGTATTCTTGGCTTTGCAGAATTTGTGCTGTCGATTTTACAGAACTAACCTACAGCTAGAACCAAGATCAAGCTTCCCCTCAGCTGGCTAAGTGGTGAGACATACCTGATCATTCTTGTTACAGAATTCTGAAAGACAGTATAGTGAAAAAGTTACCTTTAAATATTATTTATCAAAGATAATACTTCTTGCTGTGCCTAGGTCCTGGAACTGTCAGAAACATCAAATAGCTGCAGAGGGTGGATTGCTTTGCAGGCTATATGGTTTCTGTCACAATTACTCAACTCTGACACTGTAGTGAAAGCAGCCATAGACAATTCGTAAACAAATGAACATGACTGTGTTCCAATAAAACTTTATCTGCCAAAACAGGTGATGAGTCAGATTTGGCCCACAGGCCATAGTTCACTGATCCCCTTTTAGATGATTGTATAAACTATGATCATTTTGAAAATGTTGTTGTCATTAATCACTTAAGAGATAAATTGTATCTTTTTCTCTTTTCTTTGTGTTTTTTTTGTTTGTTTGTTTTCAATTTGAAGCTTTGTCCTTTGCTTCAAACTTTGTTTAAAAACTCAGGAACATTTCTGATGTTTGATAGAGCAACCTGAGGATTTTCTCCTTTCTGCAGCTACATATTTATGTATTAGTTTTATTTTTTGAGACAGGGTCTTGCTCTGTCACCCAGGCTGGAGTGCAGTGGTGCAATCACAGCTCACTGCAGGCTCGACCTCCCAGGCTCAGGTGATCCTCCTGCCTCAGCGGCCCCAAGAGCTGGGACTACAGGTGTGCACCACCACACCAGGGTAATTTTTGTATTTTCTAGTAGACAAGGTTTTGCCATGCTGCTGAGGCTAGTCTCCATCTCTGGCTCAAGCAATCCACCCTCTGCAGCTATTTGATGAGATGTTTCTGACAGTTCCAGGACCTAGGCACAGCAAGAAGTATTATCTTTGATAAATAATATTTAAAGGTAACTTTTTCACTATACTGTCTTTCAAAATTCTGTAACAAGAATGATCAGGTATGTCTCACCTCTTAGCCAGCTGAGGGGAAGCTTGATCTTGGTTCTAGCTGTAGGTTAGTTCTGTAAAATCAACAGCACAACCATTACTCCTGCTACATAAAATGGGCCATGATCAAATCCAGTACACCAAACATTCTGAGAATAACTGTCAGTGAATGCCCAATACCTGAATTACACCCGGGGTATGTCTTAGGCACACTGTATTCTCCAAAAATGACTGAAACGTTATCTCCCATTCCTCAAGCTATTCTGCAATGTGAGGCTGCCACTTCTCCATCAAGGTGTGAGGCCTATTTCTGCACCCGCTTCAATCTGACAGTTTTGACGAACAAGTGGAGAGTAACTGTGCAACAGTCCCAGGCTTAGGCCATAAAACTAGCCTGTCAATCTCTGCTTTCAATTTGCATGGAAACTTTTATTCTTAGACCAACAAATCCAGTTAATTAATTTTTAACCGACTATCTTTTTTTCTTCAACTTTTAAGGTCTGTACATGCGCAGGATGTGCGGGTTTGTTAACGCAGGTAAATGTGTGTCATGGTGATTTACTGCACAGTACCTCCTATCGCCTAGGTATCAAGCCCAGCATGCATTAGCTATTATTCCTGATACCCCACCTCCAACAGGCCCCAGTGTGTGTTTTTCCCCTCCCTGTGTCCATGTGTTCTCATTATTCAACTCCCACTTATAAGTGAGAACGTGCAGTATTTGGTTTTCTGTTCCTGCATTGGTTTGCTGGGGATAATGGCTTCTGGCTCCATCGATGTCCCTGCAGAGGACATGATCTCATTCTTTTTTATGGCTGCATAGTATTCCATGGTGTACACATGCCACATTTTCTTTATCCAGTATATCATTGATGGGCATTTATATCATTTTCTTTATCCAGTATATCATTGATGCACATTCATGTCTTTGCTATTGTGAATAGTGCTGCAATAAACATACATGTGCATGTTTCTTTATAATAGAATGCTTTATATTCTTTATATTCTTTTTTTTTTTTTGAGACAGAGTCTTACGCTGTCATCAGGCAGGGGTGCAGTGCCATGATTTCCACTCACTACAACCTCTGCCTCCCGGGTTCAAGGGATTCTCCTGCCTTAGCCTCCCAAGTAGCTAGGACTGCAGGTGCACACCACCACAACAGTTTTTTTTTTTGTTTTTGTTTTTTGTTTTTGTTTTTTTTTGCTAGAGATGGGGTTTCAACATGTTGGCCAGGATGGTCTCGATCTCTTGACCTCGTGATCTGCTACATTCCTTTGGATATATACCCAGTAATGGGATTGCTGGGTCAAGTGGTATTTCTGCCTCTAGGTCTTTGAGGAATTGCCACACTGTCTTCCACAATGGTTAACTAATTTATACTCCCACCAACAGTGTAAAAGCATTCCTTTTTATCTGCAGCCTCACCAACATCTGTTGTTTTTTTGACTTTTTAATAATAGTAATTGTGACGTGTGAGATGGTATCTCATTGTGGTTTTGATTTGCATTTCTGTAATGATCAGTGGGGATGTTGAGCTTTTTTTCACGTATTTGCTGGCCACATGTATGTCTTCTTTTCTAAAGTGTCTAATTATGTTCTTTCCCCACTTTTTAATGGGGCTGTTGGTTTTTGTTTTTTTCTTGTAAATTTGTTTAAGTTTCTTATAGACTCTGGATATTAGACCTTTGTCAGATGGATAGATTGCAAACATTTTTTCCCATTCTGTGGGTTGTCTATTCACTCGGATGATAGATTCTTTTGCTGTGCAGAAGCTCTTTAGTTTAATTAGATCCCATTTCTGACTGAGCATTTTAAATCCTGAGCTACCATATAGGAAGTCCAGCCTATTCTGCAGGACAGAGTGATCATGTGGAGAAGCACTGTGGCATATCGGATGTGCAGCTCAGTCAAGTTTTGGGATGACTCTTGCACCCCATCTCTGACTGTGCCATTTGAGAAATCACAAGTGAGAATCATGCAGCTGAGCCAAGTCAACACACAGAACCTTGAGAGAAAACAGTGAATTTGTATTTCAAACTACGAAAAGTTTTAAGGTGGTATGTTTATAGCAACAGATAACTGGAACAGGAACTGACAAGCATAGAGAAAATCTGGGTTGGTGAGAATTAAGGAATTCATGAAAAAAGAGATAAAATAAAATGATAACACAATGCAGATAAACATGGAATTAAAAATAAGCTAAGACGATATACACCCTAATTTGGTAAGAAAATATTAATACATGTTCGATACAATGAATAGCTAGCTGGTAAAAGTCCTCAAGTTCTGTATCCTGAGAAGAAGATTCTTGGTCTTGAAAAACAAAACAGCAACCTCTGAAAAAGACTATTATGAGGGTAAGAGATATTTTCCTCTTGAGGTCACACAACAAAGTTTTGCAGCCACTTCCAGCAATGTCACCATGTCCTGAAGGAAAGGGCTAGCATCATTATAATTATATTTTAACTACATCCTCTGAGTTACATTTTAAGGTGGAGTAAGACATCTCTCTAATATAAAAATAAAAGCAAATTATATTGACATGTCTTCTCTTTGCTTGTAATAGAGGAATGGGTAAACAAAAAGCCCAGAGGAATGAACACAGCTAACTTCATGCTCTGCTGTGACCCTCCATGATTCTGCATCTGGCTGAAATTTTTATGGCTTCTGTTGAAATTCCCAAATGCTGACAGAAAAAATAATAACTAAAAATAAAATTAATTTGAGGGTAAAGGAGAAAGTTGGTTGTAAGTGATGCTTTAGAAAAGGTGACCTTTTTGAGCTTAGGATGATTATTGATACTCATGAATGAACACGTTTAAAATGAAAACATTCCTTCTGCTAAAAACAGGGCAAGACTCCCAGCACACTCATTCTGGACTCTTATTTTGGATATCAGTGGGAAGTAAATACTTCTATGAAATGCCTAAAGCCTTGACCAATCTAAGCATCTGTATGGTAAAGAAGAGATTACTCAACATGGACCCCTCTGTTCTATTCACAACACTTCAAAGACTTCCCCACTGATCCAGGAGGGGAAATACTGTATATTTGTAATGTATGTAAATTAGAAGATAGAGAGTTATTTTGGCAAGTTAGAACATACAGAAAAGTATATTGTATATGTAAAACAGAAACTTATTTTAGTTAGAACATATGGAAAAGTGTATTGTGTGAGTCTGTCTAAAATGATGACAGAGAAATGTGTTACCTTAATAGAGTCAAGAATAAATTGGGGACCATGATAGCAGGGGAAAAAGGACTTCCTAGAATACTAAGTTTAAAAAAAAATGTATACCAAAGCAATTAATCCCAGAGCACAAGTACAGAAAAGATGGGTCCTAGAAATAGATGAGAAAATAAAACAAACAAACAAAAAAGCCTTATTCCTGGGTGAGAGTCTAATAGCTGGAACTGATAGTATAGGTTCCTAGTTAGCTAGCATTTTATATGATTGTTCACACTCAAGTGATCGATAAGAAATGAAAAACCCACGACAGGATGAAGCATGTTCCATGGAGTACTTCCTTCCAGATTCTCTTTGAGGAGCAACTCTGTGTGTCAGTCTGACCCAGCAAAGTCAGGCTAGGTGCATCATTGGTGGAGGTGTCCATTTTTGAACCAGGAACGAGGAACCAGAAAAAAGTTCAAGTGTCCATTTCTTTCCCTTCTCAGTTGTTTCCCATTTTTCTTTGTTTTGTTTTGTTTTCCAGTTAAATAGAGATGGTGTGAAGATACATATTTTTTTTACAGACTCCTGGTTTTAACTTCAGTTATTGGTTCCTTAGAAATGCCATGGCAAAACTCTCTATTATACAATAACCTTTAGGAAACTTATATTGAGTTTTTGAAGTTCAATTTCAACACAGAGGGCAAGTTTTAAGAGGGTAGAAGTAAAAATCTCTACTGCATGGAACTTAGGCAAAGGATCATTCTCCTAATTTTTTTTCCCCAGAATTTCTTCTCTGCAACCTTCTAGCCAGAATAGGCTCTCATTTTTTTTTGCTTTTGTCAATTGTAGGTTCTAAATTTAAAACTCAAGTTGAATTTTTTTATGTAGCTTTGAATTCATTTTAGCTTTGAGAGCAGTATATTTAGCTACTGCCAGTTCACCCCTTGGTAGGACTAGTAGCTAAGCCAGTTTTTTTCTCTTAAAACTCTATAAATTTTCTTATCCTAGAACACAGGTTTTTCTAGATCATAATTAATTTTCCATCACTCAAATGAAAGGGAAATCTTTTTCATGCACACTGAAATTTATTTGAAACTAAGAAAAATGCATTTGAGGAATATCTGAAATTATTTATAAAATTATAGCAATAAAAAAATGAACATTTCCTAAGGCACATATCAAGTGTTTGCTCTATAACTGGATCATTCAAAATATAAAGTTAATGTTATGAAACAGTGTAACAGCTTAAAACACTGCATTATATACACATTATTATAGAAATTCCTGAATTATTTATTGCTTCAATAGCATATCCAAAGTTGAAAATGAGCATTTTTTGTGGATTTCACTTGTCTTCCATTTAGAAAGCTCTATATTTCCATTCAGTCTCAGAGTTGGCTGAACACTCTTTGTTGCCTTCTTTCCTTCCTTGACTTCCATTCCCTTGTTAGCTCCTTTCTATATCACCCAAATCCTTTTTTTTTTTTTTTTTGGACTTTGCTGAAATTCTGGTCATGGATACTGTGCTCCTTATTTTCAGTTGGAGAAACTGAGGCACAGAAAAGTTCAAATTAGTTGTTTAATCAACTTGCCACAGTAAACAGGTGGTAGAGTCAGGATTTGAACTCAAGTCTGTTTGCCTCCAAAGCTACTAGAGTTCTAGAGTTCAATATTTCCACTGTCAATGACAATATTCAAATATTCTAAAATCTATGCTTGAATGGTTGTAAGTCAACAGTGGCCCCACCCAATAGCTCAAACCTAGTCCTGGAAGATGTTCTTAAAAGCAGTTCTGTAAAAGCAGAACTACTGTTTGATCCAGTAATCCCATTACTGGGTATATACCCGGAGGAATATAACACATTCTTCCATAAAGACACATGCACACGGCTGTTCATTGCAGCCCTGTTCACAATGGGAAAGACATGGAATCAACTTAAATGCCTATCAGTGACAGACTGGATAAAGAAAATGTGGTATGTATACACCATGGAATATTATGCAGCTATAAAAATGAAAGAGATCATGTCCTTTGTGGGAACATGGCTGGAGCTGGAGGCCATTATCTTCAGCAAACTAACGCAGGAACAGAAAACCAAATACCACATGTTCTCACTTATAAGTGGGAGCTAAATGATAAGAACTTATGAACACAAAGAAGGAAACAACAGACATTGGGGTCTACTTGAGGGTGAAGGGTGGGAAGAAGGAGAGGAACAGAAAAGATAACTATTGGGTACTGAGCTTAATACCTGGGTGATGTAGTAATATGTACAACAAACCCCAGGGACATGTGTTTATCTATGTAATGAACCTTCACATGTACCTCCAAACCTAAATAAAAATTTTTTTAACAAGAAGACATGAGGTGAGGGAGAGGAGGAAAAGCAGCTCTGGATACTCAAAAGAGGAACAGCAGAATTTAGATATGATAAAAAAAAAAAAAGAGAGAGTTAGCTTGACCTAGAAAAGGCACCATTTTCTCAGGTAGAACTTATGAAATACTGTTTTGTTTGTGTTTTATGTTTTGGTTTTTGTCTATTTGGAGGGTTGAGATAAATTGACAGTTTACACTTAAATCTTATTATATATCATTTGTATATATAATATACAACTGTTAAAGGTGTGTTTCACTGTAGGTAGTTCTTATCACAAAGTATAGGTTAAATAACTCTTACATAATTTCTTATTGATGCTTTAATATATAGTCATAATGTCAATGACCTTTACAGGTATTATAATATTTTTATATTAAGTGGAACCTCTCAAACTATTACAATTATTTTGGTAGCCAGTTTGGGCAAAACAAGAGAGCAGGCAATCGCACTGGAAAGGCTTATTCTAGTATAGGTTTGTTACTTGTTTCATTAAGAAATTGAGTGTCTTAAATTGTCCATCTTATAAAATTTGTCTAAATCCAAACTCACAATATTTTCCTCAAAACCATTTTCTTCTGCATTTTTTCCAATATGAAGAAAAAATCAACTTTACTCTTCCAGTTGCTCAGGTCAAAACCTTGGTGTCATCCTGATTCTTGATTGTTTTCTCACAGGCCACATCTGGTACCTCAGCAAATCCTATTACCATTTTTCCCCAAACTTCTTCAGAATATGACCACGTCTCATCATCCCTTCTGCCGCACTCAGGTTCAAGCCTCCATCATCTCTGGCTGGGATTATTACAAGAGCTTCCTAGCCATTCTCTCTGCCTTTTTCCTACTTCAGTCACTCCTCAATCATGCCTGTGCTTAAAACCTCCAAGGACTTTTCTTCTCACTCATAGCAATGTCAAAAGCATTGCAATGACCTACAGGTCCTATACCATCTGCCATCTAATACCCTTCTGACCTCATTTGTTGCTATTCCCCTTGCTCAGGCCTCCAACCAAAGTGGCCTCTTCTCTGTTCCTGGAACAAGTCACAAGGCTTTTATTTCTGGGGCACTATTTTTCTTATTTCTTCTTCCTGGAATGGTCTTCCCATAGACAGTCATATGGCTGCAGGCTTATCTGAGTCTGTTCATGCTGCTACTACAGAATACCACAGACTGGGTAATTTATAAAAAACAGAAATTTATTTCACACAGTTCTGGAGGCTGGGAATTCCGCAATGAAGAGGCCAGCATGTTCATTGCCTGACGAGGGCTGTCTATCTCTTCTTCCAATTTGGCACCTTGCTACTGCATCTCCAGAGGGGACAAATGCTGTGTCTTCACACTGCAGACAAGCAGAAGGGCAAAAAGGGACTAGCTAGTTTCTTCTTGCCCTTTTATAAGGTCATTAATCCCATTCATACTGGGGTCTGCCTTCATGACTTAATCACCTTCTAAAGAGCCCATCTCTCAATACTGTCACCTTGGGTTTAAGTTCTAACATGGGAATTTTGGAGGGACACGTACATTGAAACCATAACAAGGTCTTTACTCAAAAGTTGCCTTCTCATTGAGGCCTTCCCAGGACTTCCTATCTAAAATTTCAACCCAGTGTCCCCACCCCCAATGCTTGTTACTCCCCAACAATACTTTTTCTCCTTAGACTTAGTATATGTCACTATCTAATCTATTTAACTCATTTATCTTGTTTATTATCTGTCTCCCTTATTGGATTCTAAGCTCCAGGAAGACAGGGATTTTTTTCTGTCTTGTTTTGTTCACTGCAGTTTCGCCAATGCCTGTCACACAGTAGGCACCTAAAACATTTTTGTTAAATGTTGCTGAATTTCACTTAGATAAAATTGACATCATAAACTTTCTACATAAAAGGATAGCAAAAATGTTTTCCATTTCTAAACTTGTTAGGTATTCAGTCAGTCCTAATTAGCAGTTCTGAAATCAATTTTGATTATCTGACAACATGATGTCCAAACTGAGGTATTTATATTTTCTGTTTATCCCACTTTCTGGAACATTTGATAGTAGCTTTCTACCACAAACACATTTTTAGATTAAAATTACTTCACCCCCTATGGTTATCTGTGGGCGCTTGTAACAAATTGTTTGCTAGCGCTGAGTGAGCCAGTGCTGATTGGCCATTGGGAACTCTAACAAACTTTAAATTTCAGCAAAATGCCCAGAGACTTCTAATCCTGCAACAAGAAGCCAGGTATTCTGAAGGTGAAAGATACCAGGTAATTTGGCTTTCATGTTCTTGACAGCAAATAGCTTTATATCATAGTTGTTTACGTTTTTAAGATGCTTGCCACCCAAGTATGGTTTTATTACTTTTGAAAATCTTCTCTACTGAGCAAAACTGTGTAATATTTGGTGCTTTGTTTTATAAAATAGGAAATGCGTTACCATGCTCTAGAAATCATCAACTAAAATTGATGATTTGATAGCAACTTTCTCTTTTTTTTTGTTATTAGCATTATCAAGATCCACAGTAACTCAGACTTCAGTTTTCTTCTATCCCTTCACTTAACAAACTGCAATCAGGAAAATCTGATCTTATTCATACTTTGAAACCTCATCTGTGTTGATATTTCTACTGATGAGCATTAACTCATTTCATAAGTTACTTACGTTGTCCTGATCTATAAAATGCTTGGAAGGGTAAACTATAGTTAGAATTTAGATCCTTCTAATTGCATTAATTTAGAAAAACATAGCCTAGGATTTTAGAATATATTTAATAGTTACAATCATTTCTCCAAATACCAGCTTTTCCTTGAGGTGTTTAAAGATTGCAAGAATATTTAGATTATTTTTTCCCATAAAAACAAGTTTTTCTTCAAGAAATCTCAGAGTGGCATAAATTTATTGTTTTCACAATATAATAATAAGATCAATAGTCCAAAGACATGTTGACTTTTTTCCAATCTAATGGCTACTTAAGTGAGCTCACTAGTTCCTGTTGGTATATTTACCAAAATATAAACAAATACCTTTATTTGTAACTAAATGTTAGTATTTTGAACATCATTTTGTTGAGCCCAATATAAAATATGATTTGCCTTTAAGTCAACTGTACATGGATTTTTCTGTAATAAGATAAAAGAATAGAAAGTTATTTAAGGTGGCAGAGAGTCTTGATGAAGAAAACTGGGTCTAGAGCCACATTGCCTGGATACTAATCCCAGTTCTGCCCCTTAATATTTGTGAATTCTAAAGCAAGTTATTTGATCTTTTTGTGTCTATTTCCTAATCTATACAACAGGCATAGTAACGCCGCCTAACTTGTAGGGTTGTTGTGAGGCTCAAATAATTGAATGCATGCAAAATTCTTAGACCCAGTGCTTGGCTCATTTTAGTATTCAATAAATGTTAGCCATTAATGTCAGTGTTGCAAAAATTAGTTCACTCTCCAGCCCATGGATGGCTACTAATTCAGACACATTGCTAATGAACATGAGACACAGATTAGGGCACCAGCCCGGAGGCAGATAAGCTTTCCTCACAGTGCAATCTGCTACCCTGACAAACTTAGAGTGTGTTATGAGCTGCTACATCAACTTAATGTCATTTTGAATTACACAAATAATTAAACAATCTCTTTCTAAAGACAAGAGGAAGAAGAGCTGATGATAGAGCAAATAAATGTGTCTATAAAATATATTTCTATCAACTGACTTTACTGTTTTAATGATATTGAATAATTTTCATTTTCACATTGGAATAACTAGACATATGAAAGTTCTTAAAATGTCCACACTCGGGTATAAGCAAGTTATACATAGTCTATACACACACATACACAAAAGGATATGAACTGCCAAGGGGAAGGGTGTTTATATATTCCTATGTGTTTTATCTCTTCTTATGGCTGCAGTTTATAACTGGCAATGCTTTGTGGTAAGATATTGTTGTCTTTTTACAGAGATTCTCAAAGATGCGAGTTTTCTGTGTGGGACTACTCCTTTTCAGTGTGACCTGGGCAGCACCAGTAAGTATTTACAAATTCAATTATATTTCAGATAATCTCTTGCTCTCTTCATTTGTTTTTCTTTCAAGCAACGTCTATTTAAATTAGTAGCATCTACCTAATTCAGTTATTTTAAAAAGAACCAAGCAAACAGAAAGCATCTAGCACTTAACACTCTTAACAAAGGAGGTTCTCAATAAACATGTGCTGAATTATGAGATCTGACAACATTGTCTTTTAAGGAACACCAAAAACAGATTTTTTGAGAAAACCAAGAGGCAGCCGCAGCATTTCAAATCAGCTGATACTAATGAGTGATACTCAAAGACTCAAATTATAACATGGTAAAATAATCTTTGACTATTTTCCTGTAAACTTAAAGAATTTGACATGAATGTTTTAAAGCTAACCAGCTAGATTTAGTAAATAGATAAAAATGCAAAGAGACAAGAACTCTTCTGTATTTCTTGCAACACCCCAATACTGTGGGATCCTACTTGTGATTTTCTCTTCATCAGCGAGGCTAGAGGTGGGACGTAGTACCTCCAAGCTTAACCCAAATCAAGCTCCTACTTCCTTGTGTGTCTTTTCTTCCCTCTGACTCACCCAGTTGAATATTCAGGATGTGACCAAATTATCTTGTGAAAATGCTGAGTGTTAGTTATTTTCTGCAATGCAGACACAGTGCTAATTAGATAATGTCTGAGCAGCATCCTAACTTATCAGAATAACCTTTTTGGTTGGAGAACCATGGAAACAAATAGTCATCCCATTGCCAATCATACTTATATATAGGTCCTGAGTGAGTGGGTGACTGCTAGGGTAACCAGGCTGATGAGGATGACCAGGGAAGCAGAGGGCCTCATGGAGGGCAGTGGAAGTTGGGGAAATGTGTTCCCTTCTCCGCACACACTCTGTGCAACAAGGGTGTGCAGTACAGTACTGTGGAGGCTGTACTGCTCACAACACACATTTGCGAGACCCCATGCACAGACCTCACTCAATCAAGGCCTAGAGGCTCAGGTGCCTCTCCCACCTCTCACGGTGGAAAAATGAGTCTTGCTGACCTAGCTCAAGTTGGCCAGCTGAAGATTTTATTTTGAGCAACATGTTCCAAGAAGCAGCTGGAGTGGGGCTTTCTCATCATTTTCCAGTAAATGTGCTATGTCAACATTGATTCAGTGACCACTGATCAGAAGAGGATGCCAGCTTTCCTGCCCAGAGGCAGACAATGCCATCTCCATTACAGGGCCACATTCAAGCCTAAGACATCTGCTTGGGGGTATAGAGGGGACAAGGGAGGGATGCGTATTTCAAATGAAAGCAGCTCAGCAAGGATGCAGAGGCAACATTTGTAACTGTGAATCATTAAATATGATGTTTTCTTCCAGGTATATAGATGCCATTTTAGTAATTACCTGAATTTTTAAATGATAGATTGGTGGCTTAAGAAATTAGTATATACTCAGCCACTTGCATACGTCTTAGAATTATAAGCCAAATTCTAAATGATTTTTAAAAGGAAGAAAATGAATGTTTATTAGGCTATGCAATTCGGTTAATATTCATCAAGATGCAGTTAGACTAGAAAGACTTTGTTATAAGTCACAATAAATCAAAACTGTACCGAGGTACTCTATATTGTCAAGTATGTTTCTAATCCATATGTGTGTGTGTGTGTGTGTTCTGTAAGAAGATCCCTGACACCCCATACTATCATTTCTTTCTTTTGCTTAATATCTGCCCATCTCATTTTTATGCTTTCTTCTTCCTATAGTCCAATTTCCAGAACTGTTTGCCCTGGTTTTATATTTTTGAAGAGTGATATAATTGTCCAAATTTATATTCACATGATCATATAAGAATCAACATAAGAAATGCAATAAAGGATAAAACTATAAAAGATGCCTTGACGATAATTAATATAAAGTTTAGGAACATTTCCTCTTATTACTAAATGCTTTTTCATATTTAATCATTCAAAAATTTATTATTTTAACCCTGGGACTTTGAGGCAGAAGATTTAAATTAAAATATCTTCTCTACTTCTACTGCAACTACCAACTATGAGTGTAGGCACTTCTGTTTCTTCTACTGCTCATCTTATAAAGGTTACTTTGGGACTCATATGAGATTATAAGTACAAAAGCAGTTTACAAACTATAAAGAGTCCTATAAATAGAAGGTGTTATTGATAAACTATTGTTATTTTCTAGAATGGAATTGAATATTAGGCAGCTATGCCTTGGAGTCCAGCCATGGAGGTGCTTTCTAAACTTCTGAGTTTTATATTTTGAAGATGATTTTATCTGCCAGAGTCCAGTCCAGAAAACAAAATCCACTACAGGGAGCTCAGTAGAGCGACTTTCTAAGGGAAGCTAGCTATAAAGTATAAGGAAGAACAGAAAAGCCAACCAGGGGTGGTGAGACCACCCAAGGATCGAAGCTATTACCAGGCTTAGGGCTGGAAGGAAAAAAAAAGGTGCTGCTCCTAGGCCCCTGGCTGGGGGAACTAGGACCACAAAGGAGATGTACCCAACTCTAGAGATGCAGCCCCAAACACGGAGAGTAGAGAAGGACATACCCTGGCTTCTCTCTCCTTCCCCCCCTCCAGACTCATGCCAGGCCTCCTTCACCCAAACCCAGTCTGAACACAGAGGGCAAATGAGCTTGGGAAATGAAGGAATCAGTTCAGATTGAGCTGGAGATACAAAGGAGCTGAGAGCAAGCAGGGGCATTCCCAATATCTTAGTGCAAGCAACAACCTGTCTGTATTAAACAAAATATAGAAGCTTAAGGCTTCTTCAGGAAGAACACTTTCCAGGTAAATAGGACAGCTGGCCTAGGCGGCCCTCTTTCTGTTTATCTCTTTATTCAATCTTTCCCTTAAGGGGTTCTCTCTTTTATATGATTGATCCACCATGATGCCTGCTTCCACTGTAGCACACCCATTCAAACACGGCCCAGTCCGCCCATTGGTTCCCAGTGCCACATCTGAGATAGGCTAGGAGTTTCTGAAAGAAAGAGGTAAATGAAAAATACTGAGAATTAAAGAACTTACATCTATTCCTTTAATAAAACAGTTGCTCTCAGATTTTAGGGTCCCTGTTCTGTGTGCTTTCCTGTGGTATGCAAACTTCAGCCCAAAGGACTGGGACAAACTGCCGAGGTCTGTTCTTTCTTCATTTCTGCCCTTTCTGCGCTTCAATAGCTACCCCTCACCCTACGCTACCCTCAAGAAATTTTGACACTTTATGTCAAACCAAGAAACAGAATTTATCCTAATCTGCTGGCCACCTCCATTTTTCCTTCTCAGAATGTAACATCTGGCAGCAATAAGTTTTTGTCCTTAATTGCGATCCTACCATTCACATGAACGGCTATGGTTTGACTCTCCCTGGGCCATCAGCAGCATCATATCTTAATTCAATATTACAGTTACTCAACTTATATAATTAATGCACACACACAATTTAAATCGTCAAACTCTGATTTTAGTTCACTTATATTTAACAACTCCCAGTTTGCCAGTGAAAACTTCTTTTTCAGTGGATTCTGATGGCAGCCAAGCTCCTTCGTCTGGGGTGCCATCCCTCCCTACTCCCCCACCACACCCACTTAGCGGTTGTCTGAGCTTGAATCCAGTTCTGTAGTGGAGACGGCACTGTCTCCCTCTGGGGGCAGAAAGCTGGCACTGTCTTTCGTAATATTGAAACAAATATTATATTAATGCGATGAGTGTGTCAATCTTCTTTTGGTTAGAATGATTTTCCACAGTGAATAATACAACTCAGTGAGAGAAAAATAAATGAAACATTTGTTTGAAGAAGTTAATGAAATAGAATGTTCTAGTGGGTGAAGTTTTGTTTCTTGTTTCCTTTCAGACATTTCAACCACAGACTGAGAAAACTAAGCAAAGCTGTGTGGAAGAGCAGAGGGTAAACAGAATTCATCTTTTCAAATAACTCTATTTCAGCTCTATAAAGAAAAAGTCAGTAAGAGAAAAGTGTAACTGTCAAAATAGTCTTGGGCACTTTGAATGGAAGTGAAAAAATATACAACATAATGTTGGCACTTTCTAGTCAATCAGGTATTGTAACTCACACACCATGTGTGACAGAAAAGAGGAAAACATTGTGAATAGAGATTTATTTCTCCCCAGTATGATTTCTTCCTTCAAATGAAACAATGCTTTGCCAGGCAACCTTCATGGGGCTAAGTGAGTAAGAATTTGGGAACATTGCTACTAGCAAACAATATTTTCCCACACATGTACCTGACAAACACTTTGCTCTCAGAATGATAAATAAGGGAGTAAAGGGGAAGGTGGCTATCAGATCTGAATGGGGAATTCTATGTCCGTGGAGTCAGCTTTCCATATGCATCCAGTTAAATGAATCCTCCCCGCTTTGCATGCCACCAAATTGCAGCTTGCTTCTGCCTATCACAGAAAATTATGTTCTAAGAACTAACAATCTTCTGTACTTCATCTCAGCTGAAAATTACAAAGGCCAACGTTGCCAGCTTAAGAGCCTGAATGTTCATGCTGTGAGTTTTGCCAATTAGACATCAGACATGAATATTGTAAATCCTGTCTTTCTCCTGGTCCTCTCACCCCCTCCCACCTGAAAATATTTCCACATGCTCCATTTCCATAGACGTTTGGTAATAAAATCGATCCACCCTAGGACAGAAAGCAGTTGACAGGCCCTTAGGGAAAACAGATTTAGAGTTATGTAGAAAAGAGAAGGAACAAGTTGCTGTCTTCGGGAGCCGGCTGACACACACCCTCCTGTGGTTATAAGAAGTACTACCATTTGTCAGAGGTAGAATTCAACTTCACCCAACTTTTAAAGTTTCTTATATTATTACAAAGAGCCCAAAAACTTCTTTGTAAGAGATAAAACGTGCCTCAATATAATGTTGTGTTTTTGTAGATAACATACAAGGGTCACTATGAGAAACATGGGCATTATGTTTTTAAGTGTGTTTACATGTCACCTGAGAAGAAAAATCAAACTGATGTAAAGGTAAGCTGAATCTCTGAATGACCATTCTCAGCATGACTAAACTCTGGACTAGCCCTAGAGGAAAATGTAGGGGAGGCAAAGTTTACTTTTGCTTGCTCTGGGGTTTCTGTCTTATGGCTGGCACTTTTGTCCCTTCCCTCCCTCCCCAGGCTCCTCAAGCCTCTCTACTACAAAACTCTGGGTCCCAGAATCTTCCTGATCCCCATCCCATGCCTCGGCCCACATCTCGCTCTGCTTCAGGACCTGTGGCTGCAGGTGTGATACTCATGGACCTCAGGTGCCCATGGACTGCTGTGTTACTGCTTCTGAGTAACATTTGGTGTTTTATAAGAAAGTTTTCTTGACATATTCTACCATATGCTCTGATGGTGGGGATCTCAGCAGGGGACGGCTAAGAGGAAAAACCATTTTGGCCTAATGAGTGACACATTTTACTGTCTCTTAAATTCATTCTATGGATAACTCCATCTGTGTTGGGTTGCTCAGAAGTAAAAGAATGAGGCCCTTGTCACTACAATGACAATAATTCTTTTCACTCAGTCCCTTCTTGTAGATTCATCGGCCAAAGGGCTGGAAATAGCTTGAAATGCCATCAGCAAAAGGGCTATTTACTTTTTCCAAATCTGGTTTTATTTCCCATGGAAGTAATAGTTTCCCTTCAGAATGTTATTTTCTTCTGCCATCGATATCCTTTAGATGACATCTCTAAGACTACACCTAACTATAAATAAGTTAAAACATATCCATTTGCCAAATATATGTGGAGTTCTTAACTGGTGTGTAAGATACTATGTGAGATAAAATGATGGAGAAAACAAATTCTTTCTCTCCAGGATCTTAGAGTTAGAAAAGAAACAAAAGGCACTTACAAAAATTATTGTAAAACAAGACAGAATGTGGGAGGTGCTATGTGAGTAGTACCGAGAAGAAAAAAAAGATCATGCTTTAAGGGCTTGGAGTAGAAAGAAATTAGTTCCTGGCCTCTGGTGTTCATAATGGAAATAATTGTGTGGGGCCATGGAGGATGAGTAGGATTTGAGCAAACAGAAGTGAATGGGTGAGGCCGTTCTCCATGAAAAAACTCATAGGAACCAAAGCATGGAGACAGAAAAGCAGAGCACAGAAAAGCAGCCAGCCAACTGGTACATAAACCATCGAACAGTCAGAAATCATTTAACACAAGCAAATGTAAGAAAAGTTTTTTTCTATTTTTTGATATTTTCTTCAATGCAAAGATAGCCATCATATACCACAGGATAAAAGTTGTTTCATGTTTTCATTTATAAAATTATTCTACTCAGTCTTCTAATAAAATGCACACAATTCATTAGTGTACATGTTACTTTTTTAAAAGCAGAGAAGCACCGAAAATAAAACATAACTTCCCACTTCAGACAAGGGAGAGAAAAAATTAGGAAGAGATTATTATAATCTACTGAGTTTAGATTTAGTGTTTAACTCAAAAGGTTATCTTAGTAATGAGTAAACAAACAACAATGAACTTGATTGCAAAGGAAAACATAAATGTCCAAGTAAAACTTTCCAGGACTCAATTACTCAAGTCAAATATTTAAAATACTTTTTATTTAGTGATATACTACAAAGTTTATTTCTATTTTTTTCTTATGGCAAAATCGTATTTCAGAATATACCCACCAATATTAAAAAATTAATGAACAATAATGCCATAACTTTTACAAATAAGTAATTTCAAATTATATTTTACAAATATTATACATTGGCACTTTTGCAGACCATATATTAGCTAGCTTCTTAAAAGTAGAGGGCACTTCTAAAAGCCATTTTTATTTTAGATTCAAATGTGAGCTGATTCAACATTTCCGCCTACTTCCAACAGTTAATAAGATACATATATAAAAGCAGACAGTCCTCCAAGCAGAACAGTACTTCTGTTTGGGAGTGAAAAAAAAGAGAGAGTCCAATCAAAATCTATTTCAGATAACATCCCATCGACGGCTACAAGCTTACAGAACACACAGCCCGAGGATGACACTTGGGCAATTCAAGAGCAGGGGGGTCCAGAGTTTGTCCATCTTCATCTGCCTCTACAACCAATATTAGAGAAGTCCAGAGACTGGGAAAACCGTTGTGTATCCAGTAATTACATGACTATCATTAATATTATCTAGGAAAGAAACTATCATTCATTAAAGGGCTATGCCCAGTTCTGTATGCTTTACATGCATTATTTAATAAAAATCATTTAATTCTCCCCAAAATACTGAAAGGTAGATATCATTTTTATTTTACAGCTAAAAAAGCTAAGGCTCAGAGAAGTAAAATAATGCTCCCAAGATCACACAGCCCATAAACGGCAGTGAGACAACTGATTCTAATGCATGTGTTCTTTCCATAGCACAGCTACTCTCGTGAGTACTGGACTGAGGGATTAAGAAAAACTATTTGGCAATTCCTGCCTACTGTTTCACTCAACATATTCCCTATGATCCTGGCTTCCCTGCGTTTGGTTTTTCTATTTTCTTTGCTACCTTCCCTACACACTTGACCAAATACTATGAGCTTCTGGCTGCATGCTCTTTTTCTCTCCATCAGGGAGCTCTCGTGTATTCTGACATCTTTAATGAACACATCTAAGATGTCCACATGCTTGACAAGAGCCAACAAATTGAAGTGGTTGTCAAAAAGCACAAAATTAAGTTGTATTAGTAAAAATAGGGCTGTGGTCAAGGCAAGGAAGTGGATGGATGCCCCGTGCTTGGGGTCGATCAGGCCACATCAGAGTCAAGGTCTGATTTGGAACCCCACAAACAAAAGGGAATTCATAATCAGGTGATGGGTCTGAACATAGTCACCTAACACAAGAGAACTGTAGTGTCAACCTGGAGAAGAGAAAGCAGCCAGCGAGTTCGAAGGAACACTAAACTTTTTCAAATGTTGGGAGGGTTTCATAGGAAAGAGGAAATAACCTTATTAGGTGTTGCATCAGGAAAAATGGATACTAGTTTCAGGTTAAAAATTATTGAAAATATTACAACTATGTATAAGTGAAACAATAGGATCTGAAAAGTAATAAACAATTAGCATGTAAGATGTTCAAGGAAAGAAGAGTTGACCATGGGCTATGAAAACTGGGAAGGACTTGTACTGGGACACACTAAGAGCCTGTGATACCCAATTCTCTATCTCTAACTGTATATTGCTTTCTGAGCTCAGGTTCTATATTCCCTTAACATCAATATGTCTAACATTAAAGCCCTTGTCTTTTTCACCCTATCTTCATTTTTACATGTTAACATTCCAGTCCATTTTAGTTATTAAGGCTTTTTGCTTGGGCACCAGAAGAAGGGGTTTTTTTCTTTGTAATGTTTTTCTTTGGCGTAATCCTAATCCAAGTGATTACATCTCATTACTGGATACTGCAAAAGCCTCCTACATGTTCTTTCTTACCACTGTTCCTCCTAAATCCTTAATTTTTATTTTGTTAATCTCCTGTGAACTTTCACTAGCTCTTCATACTCTACAAAATAAAACCAAATTCTTCACCCTGGCATTCCATCTTCTACAAGTCTCCGGCACTCTGTTTGTCTGTGCAGACCTAATTGGATATGATGTCTCTGCCTCACAGACCTTCCCCCACCCTCCATACCCCTCAGGATCACTGCCTTTGCCAATAAATATCACCAGATATTGCTTAGAACATGCAGCACCCACCCTAATTTCTTCCATGTTCCAATCTCTCAATAAATATCTCCTATGTTGATTTCATATTACTCATCAATTCAAAGGCCTATGTAGGGATGTTGTATATTCCAGCTCATCCTACAATTTGGGGGTGAAAAGAAAAAATGACATTTAGTCTGTCTATAATTGTTCTGTTGCTCAAGAGCTCCTCATGGAGGGGCAAGGGAATGTGCAGAAATTAAATTCAATCTGTTTAAACTTAAGGTTATCTAATAGCTAAAATAGTTATTTAAATAAATCAGTCTCTTTTAGTTAAAAATGCTCAGATCCTCACTCCCCCTCCTTCTCCCTCTAATATGGCATCCAGGTGTGGCTTACACCGTCCACTACATACCATGCACCAAATGGACAAACATGGCTTACACCATAGTGAAGAGGAAGACTTGGAATCTTCAGACATGCATGGGATAATGTTGCCTAACCACTTGAATGCTTCTTGCCCTGCTTCATTCTAAAATGAAGTTGTCGGCTACCATAGCTTAGGATTCACTTAGTATAGTCTTGACTAGGGCCATAGTGACTCAGCCTCTCTTAGCTCCCATGGGCAATTTAGACTTCTCCCTGTTTGAGTATGACTCACATTTGTCCCTAGTATGTACTCCATCTACACTGCTCCTTTTAGAGCCACTTCACTTCCTCTATGGCAACACTCTCTGGAAACCTCCAGACCAGATGCTCAGACACTTCTATATTTAGTCTATGCTACAGAGAAATAGCGAGTGGCATACGGTATAGTCAATCTCAGCTCTTTCTTCCTGACCACATTGTTCTGCCAAGCTTACTGAAAGTTGGCTGCACCCAAGAGTGATAAAACCCAGGATATGAAGCAGCATATTTACAGATCCTGCCCCTTCCCCCACCAAAATAAAAGAATGAATTCAAATATAGATATAAATACTTTACTCTCCTCCTCTGCTTTCTCTTTTTCATCCCATTATTCTCCCAGGGACTTTTAAATGTCAGAAGATTCTTCTATTTGCAGATTTTCTGTTTAAAAAGAAGCAAGAAAGAAAGGAAAGAAAAAGAAAATACTCCTTTAGGCAGATGAATACCTCTGATGATCAGAATGAAGGGAGAAAAGAGAAAGAGAGAGAGAGAGAGAGAGAACTAATTTTAATATATGAAATCCATTTTACTTGCAATGACTCACTATTCCCACTATGTAGGTTTATTCATATTATGTCTCAATTGTGTCCTGTTTCCAAACAATTGAATATGCCGCTTATTCTTAAAATATTCTCACAATTTCCCTTCTGCATATTTGAATAGTACCCATTTTTCAAGCCTAGTTCATTCTTCTTTCTCCATGAAACCTGATTTGACCATTCTAGAATGACCTCTACCAGTAAACCTCTATTGAGTTAATAGATCCTTTTTATTAAATATCTGGTGGATGGTTTTTATATTGCCTAAGAATTATTATATTTTAAAAATTTTACATAAAATAATCACTTCATATTGAAAATTGTATTTTAGCAGGAAGAAAAAAACAAAGACAATATTGGTTTTCACCATTTGGGCAAGAGAATAAATCAAGAGCTATCATCTAAAGAAAATATTGTCCAGGAAAGAAAGAAAGATTTGTCCCTTTCTGAAGCCAGTGAGAATAAGGGAAGTAGTAAATCTCAAAATTATTTCACAAATAGACAGAGACTGAATAAAGAATATAGTATCAGTAACAAAGAGAATACTCACAATGGCCTGAGGATGTCAATTTATCCTAAGTCAACTGGGAATAAAGGGTTTGAGGATGGAGATGATGCTATCAGCAAACTACATGACCAAGAAGAATATGGCGCAGCTCTCATCAGAAATAACATGCAACATATAATGGGGCCAGTGACTGCGATTAAACTCCTGGGGGAAGAAAACAAAGAGAACACACCTAGGAATGTTCTAAACATAATCCCAGCAAGTATGAATTATGCTAAAGCACACTCGAAGGATAAAAAGAAGCCTCAAAGAGATTCCCAAGCCCAGAAAAGTCCAGTAAAAAGCAAAAGCACCCATCGTATTCAACACAACATTGACTACCTAAAACATCTCTCAAAAGTCAAAAAAATCCCCAGTGATTTTGAAGGCAGCGGTTATACAGATCTTCAAGAGAGAGGGGACAATGATATATCTCCTTTCAGTGGGGACGGCCAACCTTTTAAGGACATTCCTGGTAAAGGAGAAGCTACTGGTCCTGACCTAGAAGGCAAAGATATTCAAACAGGGTTTGCAGGCCCAAGTGAAGCTGAGAGTACTCATCTTGACACAAAAAAGCCAGGTTATAATGAGATCCCAGAGAGAGAAGAAAATGGTGGAAATACCATTGGAACTAGGGATGAAACTGCGAAAGAGGCAGATGCTGTTGATGTCAGCCTTGTAGAGGGCAGCAACGATATCATGGGTAGTACCAATTTTAAGGAGCTCCCTGGAAGAGAAGGAAACAGAGTGGATGCTGGCAGCCAAAATGCTCACCAAGGGAAGGTTGAGTTTCATTACCCTCCTGCACCCTCAAAAGAGAAAAGAAAAGAAGGCAGTAGTGATGCAGCTGAAAGTACCAACTATAATGAAATTCCTAAAAATGGCAAAGGCAGTACCAGAAAGGGTGTAGATCATTCTAATAGGAACCAAGCAACCTTAAATGAAAAACAAAGGTTTCCTAGTAAGGGCAAAAGTCAGGGCCTGCCCATTCCTTCTCGTGGTCTTGATAATGAAATCAAAAACGAAATGGATTCCTTTAATGGCCCCAGTCATGAGAATATAATAACACATGGCAGAAAATATCATTATGTACCCCACAGACAAAATAATTCTACACGGAATAAGGGTATGCCACAAGGGAAAGGCTCCTGGGGTAGACAACCCCATTCCAACAGGAGGTTTAGTTCCCGTAGAAGGGATGACAGTAGTGAGTCATCTGACAGTGGCAGTTCAAGTGAGAGCGATGGTGACTAGTCCACCAGGAGTTCCCAGCGGGGTGACAGTCTGAAGACCTCGTCACCTGTGAGTTGATGTAGAGGAGAGCCACCTGACAGCTGACCAGGTGAAGAGAGGATAGAGTGAAGAACTGAGTGAGCCAAGAATCCTGGTCTCCTTGGGGGAATTTTTGCTATCTTAATAGTCACAGTATAAAATTCTATTAAAGGCTATAATGTTTTTAAGCAAAAAAAAATCATTACAGATCTATGAAATAGGTAACATTTGAGTAGGTGTCATTTAAAAATAGTTGGTGAATGTCACAAATGCCTTCTATGTTGTTTGCTCTGTAGACATGAAAATAAACAATATCTCTCGATGATAATTTGTATTAAGTAATCTATAAGAAACTCTGTTGTCTGTGGTGCTTCATTTCAGAGGCAAGAAGCTTAGTTCTGCCTCCAGCACAGGGAGTGCCTATGAAATTGATCCACTGGGGAAATCTCAGCTGTGCTCCTCCACCCTCTCTGCTTGAGCCAGCCTTTCCTTTCCCCTCTGACTTCCCTCTGTGCTGATAGAGATCCTACTTCCTACCTTCTTCCACTCTTTCCTCTGTTGCACATGTTGCACATATTCTACGACAAATATTAGCTCCTGAAACAAATCTCCATGTTATCATTTTTCTTGGTTCTACCTCCTTCCAGACAAAGAGGACTGTAGGGTAGAGGGAGGGCAAGAGGGAGAATTTGAGGAGAAACACAAATGCAAAGCCAAGACAAAAACTTAATTTGAGAAATATCATTCACTGGCTGATCCCAAGTCATTTCCAGAATATTTCTTTCTCTTGTCTTTCAGTGTAGAGGTTTTTTGGCTTTGTGACACTGTTCTGGAAACTAGCCCTAAGTCTCGGTTAGGGAAGGGGGAAGAGCTCTGGAAAGTTTTTGCCCCTCCTGATAAGAAGAATTTATATAGCCGGTATACCACCCTTTCTCCTTTCTTGCCCTTTTCTTGGCTTGACATGAACCTGATGCCTGGAGGAGCAGTCATGTTGTGGCTATGAAGGAAAGGACAAAATAATCCTAGAGGAGCCACTGAACCAGCTCCATCATCAGCTTCCTGCCTCCAGAATCTTTGTCCTATGAGAAAAAGAATGCTCTTTTTAAGCGACTATTTGGAATTTTTGTTGCTGCTGTTATTGGTAGGTGAATTGAATTTGTAATTGATATACCTCTCCATTCTTGACATTCCTCCAAATGAGGAAGGTCAAGAGAAGAAAAGAAAGAGGTAGAGAATAGAGAAAGAAAAGTGCACACATTTTCTCTTTAACACGTAAGTTCCCAAACAACAGAAATCATGACTGAGACATTCCGGACAGCACCTAGATTATTAAGTTGAATAATGTATGTAGCAAAGTCAAGTCAATGTCAATATGTTATGGCACCTTCAAAAAATCTAAACTCCCACATTGGGTAGATAGAGGGTGCTTCATTTACTAAATGAAAGTGGCAATATAAGCTATTGAATAAATCAGACTCTCAACATACACAAATAGTAATGGCTAACATGATTTGCTTAGTTACCATGAGCCATGCTCTGTGAAGTCCTTTTATCTATACAGCTACTCTATAATACGGGTACCATTATTACCCCCATTTTACAGATGAAGAAACAGACACAGATCTGTAAGTATTTGCTAGTTAGCTAGGATTTATACCCAAGGAGTCTGGTTCCAGAGTCTTTACTCTTAAACAATCACTAAACTGCCATATATTGCAAAGATAAATGTACATAATATACACATACATATATGACTGTGTGTATATATAGACATATATGTATACACACGTGTACATAGATCGTGTGTATATTCATCCACATAATATGAATATGTGTGAGTATATGTGTGTTCATGAGTGCACACACACAGAGAGAGAGAGAGAAACTTGAAAGAATACAAAGTAGAATCTAAAAACAAGGAATCTTTTTTTCCCTCATTTGTTCCCTATCTTCTGGAAATAACAGGTCAGAATCAAGGGAAAGACTGAACATATCACCCAATGTTACCATCAGAATTCCAGAATAAACTATTCCTAGTAATTTGCTTTTTAAAAAATAAAAGACAATTTGGGGGAAAAAAAACTGGAGGCAATTAATGAAGTAAAAAAAAAACTCTATCAGAATTTAAATTGCAGATTAATAAATTGAAATCAAACTGCTACTTATATTTCAGGTTTATATCAGAGCTTTACATGCGAATGGTCTGATCACATAAAAACACTTGTCGTGGTAAAAGAAAAATATGAACTGATGGAGAAAAACGGATGCTTTCTTTGGGTAAATACAGATGGACCCTTCCAAAAGTCACCTGTCGTAGTCTGCTATCTAGTGGAGAAACTGCGTATTTCAATTCTCTGGTCCGATTTTGTTTCCTCTCTCTAAGCTTCAGTGTTCATGGATATTTCTTCAAAACACTGACAATGTTCATATTTTTTTCATCCAGTTAACAGAAACTAGAAGTGTGTTGGCATCCACAATGCATTGCTATTTGATGCAGACGTGGAGGAATTAGTCCAAACACAAAGGACCAGAGATCCACAAGGACAGTCAGTAGTCAAGAGTGAGGCCCATGCCTTATCCAAAACCATGTTTTAGCCATCAGGCTGCGCTAATCTCAGTTAAAAAAAAAATAGATATCTGTTTCTGAAATTGGGCAAAAAACTTCAGCCTCACGTAGCTGCCTTATAAGAGACGATGGAAATTGACCTAGCCTGCCACCTTGTGCTCAAAAAGAAAAGGTCACTGTACCAGTCTGCGAGCAGGCTCCGGTTCTGTTATTTACGTGCAGCCCTGGTACTCCCTCAAACCTCACCTTCCTGGACTTCTCTGCTTGTAAATATTTACCTTGATTTTACAATACTAATTAATCTGTTCTTGGCGCGTCTACCAGTCAGGGTAACATATCTGACCTTGTCTGAAATAACATTTAGCTCAGTTGAAAAGTATTTATTGAACGACCATCTTTTACAAAATTCTTTGGAGATCAAAAGAAGAGATGCTCTTGGTCTTTATCAAAACTATAAGTAAGTAGGGAGAAAGTCATACGAAAGATACAAGGCAGAATGTGTTAAATAATAGAAATATAAGTAAAGTGAGACAGGAGTTCTGAGAAGATGAACTCTAGCTGAAGGGAAGAGCCAGGAGATAGTAAAATCTATTTTACCCAACGTATTACACATGTAGAGAGGCTGCAGACAATAAGCCTCACTAGTACATAAGAGCTTCACAGTGGCGACCTTAAGTGATCCCATGTGTAGTTTAGAGCTTAAGATAGCTCTCCCCAACCAGTGGATGGGGAAGGAGTGGTAAGCAAGGTAGGGTTCAGGGGAGTTGGAAGGAAGAAGACCAGCCAGGAGGAAGTTGCTCAACAGACTTTCTCTGCGGTCTAGAATAAACATTGTGTTATCTCCTCACTCTGTCTTTAGGGCCTGCCTTTAACTAAGCAGGAGCTCAAGACAGCGTAAGTTTCAAAGACATTATGATGCTTTTACAGAAGTCCCTTTCAAAAACAACTTCTGTATGAGAAGGTAAACTCTGCTATTCAAGAGAATGATACTTACAGTCACAGGCATTAAAATATGGTATTAGACGGCCCAAAGGAAAAGGAGAAGAAATAGATGAGTCTGAATGCATGTCAGGAAGATAGGAATTGGGGGCTGAAAGAGAAAGGGGCAGATAAATGGTTAGAAAAAATTTAATGAGGAAGTCTGGAAAGAAAAGAGAACAAAACACCGATACAATCCAAATCCAGAAATCCAAATGAGAATAATGTCAAAAACAATGAGTGGACTCACGCAAAAGCTGCAAGAAAATCTACCTGAAGCTATGGTTTAGACTTTCGAGAATAAGAACAAGAGGATCTGTTTCATTAAACGAATAATACTTTATCAATTTGTAGGCATATGGTTTAGTGTAACACAGACACTCCCTGTTTAGAAGTGACTCTTGCTAGATTTGAATTTTAAGTAGATTTTTATAATTGTTAGGTTAACAGATTAATAATAGAAGTCAAACAATCTTAAATAATTTTTACTTAAAACAGCATCAGGAAGATAGAAGTATTAGGTTGGCTCAAAAGTAATTGCCATTACTTTTAATGGCAAAAACAGTCATCACTTTTGCACCAACATAATACTATGTGAAGAAAGAAAGTTGTCTATTTAGCAAAGAGGTAATTCTGAGCAGGCCAGCTGGGGCAGATCTTAGACACATTGCATTAATAAGTGAATGGAGTAATATTTGTGATATAAGGCCATGAACGGGGTCCAGGGATTTCCTTTTTTAACAGGTCCCTCAAATGATTTTAATGCAAGTCAAAGTTTGAAATCACTAATATGGATGTCTTTCCCAGTGACCTTCAAATCAGTCACCTGGGTCTCCCACAAATCTATAGCTAGTCCAGAACTTCCCCTGTATTAACCTACCATTGCAGGAATGTTTCAGTTTATGATGAAAAATAGCTTGTCTTTGTGGATTATCTTATATCAACAAATAATAAAAATATCATTTAAAGTGAACGTACAAGGCTGGGACTGGTGGCACAAGCCTGTAATCCCAGCACTTTAGGAGGCCAAGGTGGGGCAGATCACCTGAGGTCAGAAGTTCGAGACAAGCCTAGGCAACACAGTGAAACCCCATCCCTATGAAAAATACAAAAATTAGTCAGGCCTAGTGGCACAGGCCTATAATGCCAGCTACTTAGGAGGCTGAGGCACAAGAATTGCTTGAACCTGGGAGGTGGAGGCTGCAGTGAGCCAAGATCGTGCCACTGCACTCCAGCCTGGGTGACAGAGTGAGACTTTGTCTCAAATAAATAAATAAATATTAATTAATTAATCAAGTGAATGTACAGGACAGCATTTAAAAATGGACCTTTACACAGGCTCTTGCAAAACAGAAACTATTCACAGTGCATATACGTGACTTCCCCAACTCACTACTCTGTGGAAAATAATCTGGTGATTGTAGAGCCGTAGTGTGCCATCGGTCACGTACAAACCGGTCATCCTAACAGGATATGATCACAACCATTCAAAGTTTATGTGTCTCTGTAAAAGACAGAACAGAAAGTGTGACAAGGAAACAAAGTAGGAACAGAAGGAGCAAAAGTTGAAAGTACAAGGGCGCAAAAGTCACAGTATGCTGATTCGAGACTAAGCTTGCTGCCTTATGTTGCGCAAAAGTGTGAGTTCTACAATGAGATCACATGGACACAGGAAGGGGAACATCACACTCTGGGGACTGTGGTGGGGTGGGGGGAGGGGAGAGGGATAGCATTGGGAGATATACCTAATGCTAGATGACGAGTTAGTGGGTGCAGCGCACCAGCATGGCACATGTATACATATGTAACTAACCTGCACAATGTGCACATGTACCCTAAAACTTAAAGTATAATAAAAAAAAAAAAAAGTGTGAGTTCTAGAAGAGCATTCCCTATTAATAGAATCTTTAGTTAGTAGAATTTTAAAGCAGTGATCCATAAATTTCTAGTGTTCTACAAAATCTGCCTCTGTCTTGGTTCAGTGTTGGTGCTCTGTCTTCCACAGAGATCCGGGTTGATGAAAGGCCCTTCCAGGGAAGAGCCCCTCAGTTGCACCATCATGTTATTCATCAGGGCCAGATGAATAAAGAAGGGACGTACAAGTGTGAAAGCCCCCCAGCATCTGAGCCTACCGGTAGCCAAGAGAAACGAGTCTCCAACCTGGTCTTTTGGCTTCCTCATTTCAGCTTACTCTGGCCTGTTCATCTAACACTTACTAAAAGCATGTGACAGTAAGCTTTGAATCAATTCACATATCTTTCTCTCTCAAAATAATGTTTTTAGTTTTCTGATTATGAGAGAAATGAAAAACCCATTATATAAAATTACAAAAAAAGAAAATATAAAAAAAAATTACACTTTCATCACATTTTTCCTCCCAGTTCTTTTTCTAACTATATACTGACATATATTCTAAGAAAACATTATATTCTTTTAGTGTTCTTTTCTGCTATCTTAATTTGCTCTTTTATCACATTACCAAATATTTTTAAATCATTTTTAAATTTTATTATATACATTTACCACAGTTTGTTCAGTCTACTATTGAAGAATATTTAGCATTTTCCCAGTTTGTCTCTATTATAAACTCTTGTGTTTTTTCAGCTTTACTGAGGTATGATTGACAAATAAAAATTGTATATGATGCTTAACCATTCTTTTTAAATGGCTGCATAAAATTTGCTGCTTTGATTTACTGTCATTTTTTTAGCCACATCCCTATTGATAGGCATTTAAATGATTTTTAGCTAATCACTATTCAAACAGTGTTACAATAAACATCACTGGTCATGTATCTTTGTGTACAACAGTAGGGTAAATTTTTAGCATTACCAAGTCTATTTTAAATATGAGATACAAAGATGCAACATCAAGTTTCATATACCTGAGCAAGTAGGTTCTTAGAGCAAGTAAGTGAATATTGCACTTTACATAAATTTGCCTCTGTGACACTTCCACCTGCACACAATATGCCCCAGGGCAGTTAATTCCAAACACTGGTGACAGGCTAGGTCCAGTGGAGTCATCTGAAGATCTTTATCAGAAAGCACAACCCTGGAGCTCATTCTCAAAGATTCCGATTCTTTGGTGGGTCCTAGTATTCTGCATTTTAGGAAACTTCCAGGTGACACTAATACACAGCCAGGTTTCAGCAACACTGCCATAAGAACCCGTATTAAAGAGCTTTTAAAATGGAAAACCAGAAAATAGTCACTAGATGGCAACCTCGCTCACTTTTTGAAAAGCATTTTGAAACAAAGCAAAGAGAGTTTTTAACTTTCATTCACAATTAAATTTGGAAATGTCTCCCTAAAGGAAGTTTAAAAAAAAAAAAAAAAAAACATACAATCAGGTGCCTCTCTTTCATAATGCCCGTATCCTATTACTTTTAAACTCCATAAATAAAAACAAGGGCTCTTTTGTTTGAATAATAACAGCCCCCTCTGGAAACTTAATCTAGTTTTTGTTTGCATACATCTCTCCTATAAAACTCTGAATTTCCTGTTTCCTTAGATAATAAAGTGGAATTTGTCTTAAAAAGTCTCTTTTCTTTCTTACTAATGTCTGAATCTCCTTAAAGCCAAGATCAGCTGTGCTTAGTTTTGTGAGGCTAAACCCCCTGACATTAACACGTTGCCATTCTTTTTCTAACTGGCTCTATACAGGTGCAGAGATTCTTGGAAGAAACCTTAGAGATCATCTGGTCCAGTGCTCACCTAAGGCAGGTTCACTGTGTTTCACCCCTAATAGCTGGTCATTTTGCCACTGTTTACATACTTACACTAACAGGGAGTTCATTACCTTACCTTACACTTTTGGTGCTAGGCAGAAAGATGCATTCATTTTCCACATTACATGTTTCCTGTTTTCTACACTTCTCCTCATCAAACTAAACATTTTTCAATGACCTTTCATGTGCTCTTTCACCACACTTACCTCCAGTTGGTTGGGCACAATATTCCACATATTGTTTGAACATCTCAGCAGACCATGTAATAGTCTACCCTTTATTCTGGCCACTCAATCCTGTTAATATAGTCTAGGATTGTGTTAGACTCCTTAACATCTACAAAATGCCTATGTCAGCACTTGGTCCAAAATACAGGCTAAATTCATATTAGTTTCCCTTTCTCCTTATTTAATTTCTAATTATATAAGTACTAACTTCCTTCTGGTTTTTGTTTGCTCATGTGCTTACTCCATAAAAAACAATATTAGACCAGCTCTGCTCTTTGTACAGTATTATATCATTTATTTTCTGATCCAGGATGCATAATGCTCTATTTCACAATGCTATTTTATTGAAGTTTCTTCAATCTCGATTTTGTGATCCTAAATATTAACTATCACTCCCAGTTCTTAAGATGCAAATACTTCCTGGGTGTTCATTCACCAGTTTGAAGAAATTTTGAACAGGGCAGAGGGCAGGCTAGGACAGTGCCTGCAGCATATTGAAGTTGGCCCCCTTGTAGCCTGATGCTGATCTATTTTTTTTTTTTTTTTTGAGACGGAGTCTCGCTCTGTCGCCCAGGCCGGACTGCGGACTGCAGTGGCGCAATCTCGGCTCACTGCAAGCTCCGCTTCCCGGGTTCACGCCATTCTCCTGCCTCAGCCTCCCGAGTAGCTGGGACTACAGGCGCCCGCCACCGCGCCCGGCTAATTTTTTGTATTTTTAGTAGAGACGGGGTTTCACCTTGTTAGCCAGGATGGTCTCGATCTCCTGACCTCATGATCCACCCGCCTCGGCCTCCCAAAGTGCTGGGATTACAGGCGTGAGCCACCGCGCCCGGCCGATGCTGATCTATTAATCAATACTTTTTGGGTGCAGCTGTTTGGTTAATAATGACTATGGCTCTATTATTAACTGGCCTAGATATGCTCACAAAAGAATTTTGTCAAATGCTTTGCTAATATCAATATGCTGAGCTCTACAGCATTTCCTAAACCTACAAGACCAGCAATAAGATCAAAAATGCAATCAGGCTGGGCACGGTGACTCACACTGTAATCCCAGCACTTTGGGAGGCCAAGATGGGCAGATCATTTGAGTCCAGAAGTTTGAGACCATCCTGAGCAACATGGTGAAACCCATTGTCTACAAAAAATACAAAAATTAGCCGGGCGTGGTGGCATGCTCCTGCGGTCCCAGCTACTTAGGAGGCTGAGGCAGGAGAATCGCTTGAAACTAGGAGGCAGAAGTTGCAGTGAGCCGAGATCGCGCCACTGTACTCCAGCCTGGATGACAGAGCAAGGCTCTGTTTCAAAAAACAAAAGAAAAAGAAAAAAATGAAATCAGAATAGTGACAGTACAGAAAACTGTGATAATGTAGACTTAAAAAAAAACTAAAGGTTTTTTTTTCACCTTGGAAAGGTGAAATAGATTACAACCAAATTACAACTGTAATCCCTGGACACATGTAGAACAGACCCAAGAAAACTCTGAAAGGTGGAGAGAATTAAAAAGATGGGCCAGGGACCTTAAGACTCAAGGAATGACAAGGCATTAAGCTTCCTGGGCTTTTTTTGGTCTCATATATCCCAGACTTGGAGCTCCAGATGCTGGCAGCCCAGAAACACCAAATACAGACAAAAAAAGCCTGCACACTCTAGCCAAAGGAACAGGAAAGGGGCAGTCCAGCAACGCTGAACACTTTTAGACAATAACCACTCTACGCCAGCCAAACACCGCAGAGAAAACTGTGGCCCCAACCCCACCCACACAAGCCAAGGCTGAGTGGGGGAGCCCAGACTTCCAACCTGGAGACGCCACCACGAGGTGCCTCAGCCCCGTCACCACCACCACCACCACCTCCGGGGTGGTATCACAGAAGGCTGAGAAGAGAGCTGGTACTCTCATTCCAGCCAGCCTGTAACAAGCAGTTCCTGTGGTATCAGTGGAGACCATGAGGACAGCCTGGACTCCACTCCCACTCGGCAACTTCCTGCTGAGGGGGGGGCACAGGAGGTCTAGTGGAGAGTCAAGATTTTTACCACTGCTTAGCAGTAACAATGCCACCTACCTATGGTGCCACCAGAGACCATGTGGGGAGCCAGAACTTCCACCCTTTCCTGTAGTAATGAGGAGCCCCCAACACACATGCACACACACACACAGGGATGTCAAGGGAGGCCAAGTGGGAAACCTGGGCGTCTATCTCTACCCTTCTAAAGTGGTGTCATAGGAAGCAAAAATAGAAGTTAAATAATACCCAGAGTCTTATAATATGAAAGTACCCAGGATTCAATTGAAAATCACTCATCATTCAAAGAAACAGGAAGATCTCAAACTGAATGAACAAAGGCAATCAATAGATGCCAACACTGAGTCAGCAGAGATGTTAGAATTTCCTAACAAATTATTGTAAAGCAGTCATCATAGAAATGCTTCAATGAGAAATTTATAAATGCACTTCAAACAAATGAAAAAGTAGAAAGTTTCAGCAAAGAAAGAGAGGATCTAAAGAAGAACCAGATGGAAATGTTAGACATGAAAAAGACAATAATGGAAATTTTGAAAAACTCAGTGGATGGGCTCATTAAAAGGATGGAGGGAACAGAGGAAAAAATCAGTCCACTAGAAGACAGAACAATTTTTCAACCTGAACACAGAAAAAATAGCCTGTAAAAACAAACAAACAAACAAAAACACAAGAGCAGAGCTTCAGGGACCTATGGATCTAACACTTACGTCATTGGAGTTCTAGAAGGAGAGGAAAAAAAGGGCAGGGCTGAAAAAGCACTTGAAGAAATAATGGCTGAAAGCTTTCCAAATTGGCAAAAGACAAAAACCTACAGATTTAAATAGGTGGGTGAACTGCAGACAGGATAAACCAATAAACCTACAGAAACCTACAGCAAGCTAGAAAGATCATGCAGGTTTCTCCTTTCTGAATGAACAGAGTGAGAGAATCTGATGCATCCATTAGCTGAATTCCTCTAGAGTAAGGTCATCTGATCTCTCAAATAATGAAGGATTCTATTTCCTGACCCAATCAGAAGGTTAGCTGAACCTGTCATCAGAATGTTATTACATTTGCCTAAGAGTGAACCTTTCATGCAGGGTGCTTGTTGGAGAGCCTAAGAGGTCACAGTGGAGACTTTGTTGTCCCTGAAGGAACAGGCTCTTGGCTGTTTTTGTCTGTTTGCTAATAAATGCTTGAACATGTGGTAGCATTCGGTCTGAGACTTGTTTTCACTGTTGGATACCACCATGGGAGCAAAGCCATGGGAAAAGAATCCCATAGTTCCCGGCCACTCCTCACTACTGGATGTGCCAATGCTTATCCGAACAACCTGATAATTGTGAATAGCTTAATTGACTTAGGTCATTCACAACAACGTAGTACCAAGCATCTCTATTAAAACAAGCAGGCTAAAGAATTAAAACACATTTTATAGGTTACATATTTGGAATACACTAAGCCAGACTTCTTTATTTATGATAATTTATTACCTTTAGGACAGGTCAAATCATGTGATTTAGATGGGGAGAAATAATACATCAAATCTTACCGTTGTAGGACTTCATACTTAAATATTTGGGTTGAAATTAGGGTAGTGGACACTTGTGTAGAAGCTCCTCTAAGGACTTATAATAAATACAACAAATGAGAGAAACTAAAAGGAAAATTGGAAAACATGAAAACAAAGTGTGAACTATCTGGGAAATACATTCATAGATATCATTAAACCACCTGAAAACTTAGGGGCTTGAAACAAAAAGGACTTTATTTAGCTTGTAGGCCTTTGGCTTGGCTAGGAGGTTCTTCCAGACTGGACTGTTCAGCTGATCTCACCTGGGCTCTCTCACGTATCTGTGCTCAGCTGGCTGGTCACGTATAGCCTCACTCCCTCACTCACATGCCTGGTGTTCGGCAGGCTGTTGCCTCAGTTCTCTTGCTCATGACCTTCATCCTCCAGCAGGCTAGCTCAGGCTCAGTCTTGTGACAGTCTCATATGTAAGTACTTTCCAATGCCCTGCTTGCCTCATGGTTGCTAATGACCCACCGGCAAAAACAAATCACAAAGATAAGCCCTGAAACATACAACTACTTAAGCAACAATGACCTAACCAACAAAAGGTATGGTGAGAGGAGGGGAAACATTGCAGCCATTTTTTCCTCACCCTTAAAAGAGTGTGTCAGTCATGCAAATTATACCAATTTATGTCGATCTTTGTCTACACTCCTACTGAATAATTTTCTTTCAATGGATAAATGAGCCTTCTATTAAACTTTAGTCTGATCCTGCACATAAATTAATTTGCTTTATGGTTCAGATTTGAATGAGTTCAAAAAAAGTATAACAGTATGAATTTAATTCATTTATTCAACAAATATCTACTGAGAGCCAACAAGGTACTAGGCATTGAGGATACTGCAATGAACAAAATAAACTAAAATTCCTGCCTTTAAGAGTTTACATTTATGGTGAATACTGGCAATAAACAAGTTATATTAAATAAAATATATACTATACAATACAGCCACAGAAGCTAAGGAAAATACTAAGTTGGAGAAAAAGTCTAAGAACTTGTGGAGAGGGCTAATATTTTGTGTAGAGTGGCAACAAAAACTCAAAATGAACACGTGACTTATGAATACAACCTCAAAGAAAGTAGGGAAGCCAGCCAAGATGATATGAGATGAAAAAAATGTTCCAAGCAGGGGGAACAGCATATGCAAAGCCCCTGAGGCAGGCATGTGCCTAGCATGTTGAGGAACACCAAGTATGACTTGTGTGGCTGGTACAAAGAGGGTAGTCAGGGTAGAAAGAGATGGGGTTAGAGATATAATGGAGTTGGGGTCAGGGAGAGTGTCAAAATATAAGATTTAATAGGTTATAGAAAATAGTTTGGCTTTTACGATGAGTGGAATAGGAAGCCATCAGATTGTTTTGAACAAGGCAGTGCCATCATCTGACCTCCATTTTAACAGGATCCCCCAGCTGCTGGGTGAAAACTGGGGCAGAGGCAGAAGCCGCAAGGCAGGTTAGGAGGCTATGGTGACAATCTAGGCAAGAGGAGAGGGTGGCCGGGAGTAACAGTAGGTTTGGAGGGAAGTATTTGGGATCAGGATGTGTTTTGAAGGTAAAGTGAACAGAATTTGCTGGTGGATTGGCTCTGGGGGGTGAAAGCTAGGAAAGACTCAACAATGACTCCCAAGTTTTCAGCCTGAACAGCTTTTGAGGTTGGGAATCATGTGAGAGAAGCAGGATTGCAATTAATGAATATTAGAAGACTAAATTAAACTTGAAGCTCTTGATGCAAGAGTGGTTTATGCCCCCATCTGTCCTCTCGTCCACTGCAGTGCACACCCAACCAACTCCCAATGCCAGAACTTCACATCCTTGCTGGAGGACTCTTTTGCCAATGGAGTCTACTTTACCACCAACATCCCTGGAAGTGCTGGGGAATTAATGCCTTCCAGGAGCAGCCATCAGCCAGTAACTGGCAGGATTTGGTGTATAAATACCCCAAGTTCCCTCACCTTTTGGCTAGGAGAACTAAGAGGTTGTGTTTTATACTAGTCCTCAGAATTCTGGAAAGTAAGAATATACTCAAGTTCCCACAGTGGTAGCTGGCTTGATAATAAGTTCTTTGTTGGATTTCTTTATTTGTTTGTCTCACTTCCCCATTTCCTTACCTTCATATCCCTCTCCATCAAAATAAAACAAACAACAACAATAGCAAGAGCTAGTAATTGAATCCTTTCTTAGAGTCTGTTTTTGAACACCTGAAACTATGATAATGCCTATTAGACATCCAAAAGGCAATGCTGTGGAAGAAGATGGACACTTAATCTTTGTGATTTAGGGAACAATCAGGCTAGAGATCTAAATTTCAGAGTCAGCATCATATGGATAGGTTAGGAGTCATAGGAATAGCTGAAATTATCAAGGGAGTGAGTGAAGACCGAAAAGTTCAAACCCTTGATCACACTAAAGCTTAGAGGTCAGAGAACTGAGGAGAAACCAGCAGAAAAAAAAAATAAAAAAGTCAAAGAGGAGCAGCCAGAGAGGTCAGAGGAAACTCAAGGGAATGAAAACACTCTTTCCAGTAATTACATGTATTAATACCTGGGTCTTACTGCAGATTGAAAGAACCAGGTTCTCTGCTCTTCCAGGTTCACACTAGAAGTCTACATATTTTAAAAGGCTTTTCAAATATTGCTTAAGCACAATAAGGTTTAATAAACATTGACTCTTAGAAACTCCTGTCTTCCCCTTTTTTGGGGGAGACTGGTGGTGTAGGTAGCATAGCACAAATCAGCTTTTATTCTGTCCTATTAAGTTCATGACACAAAAAACTGCTCAACCACAATTGATTTCCAGTAGCTCATCCTGCCACCTAAGCAAATTGTGCCCTCATAATTAGAGGTGATTTTATACATACATATATACAATGTGTGGTATGTGTGTGTGTGTATTTTTAATTAGCTGGATACAGATCTTTTTTCTGGAGCTAAGGTTAACCTGAATTGATAATGTTAGTTGCTAGAGGTTTCACACTCACACTCTTGAACTACATCATTAACCCAAAGCAGGTCTGTGGGAACTTCCATTCTTTTTAAGATGTAAAATCATATCAGATAGCAAGACGTCAGCTTTACTCCAATTCTACACATATTTTTTTAGTAATGACTATATACTACTGAGACTAATTTTTTTTTTTTTTTTTGAGATGGAGGCTCGCTGTGTTGCCTAGGCTGGAGTTCAGCAGCGCAATCTTAGCTCACTGCAACCTCCGCCTCCCTGGTTCAAGCAAT